>NC_000003.12:173402543-173554058 GCF_000001405.40 Homo sapiens
CCAGGGTTGACTAACTTAGGAGTTCAAGGATGTCATGGCTCTGGTACGACTTCACTGTAAATCTCTTGAGTCTTTATCTTGGAAACAAGATAAACAATATGATTATCACAGAGCCAAACATCACCTCTTCTCATAGCCCCACTCAAAGCAGAAATGAAAAAGCAGTCTTCTTCTCATGGATATATCTCTTTATCTAGAAGGAAACTTTTCACAGAAGATATCAGCAAACTTCCCTTTATGCCTGAATGACTAAAACTATGTCACATTTCACTCTTAACTTACAACTGTCAATGAGACAATGCGTTGTATGATTGTTTTTGATCATCATGGTCGGTCCCTTGAGGGCTGGGGAAGAGGTCTGTTTTCCTGTGGACTTGGCTGCTTCACACAAAAAATCAGAGCTCTGTTAACTGGGAAGAAGGAGGCAATAACTATCTAGGGCTCCTAACAGGGAGTTCCACAAACAAACTATCTGTCCTTCTCAGATCTCTTAAAATATGGAATGCCTATGTGAAAATTAAATTCATGAAAAAATAATTACATGGCCTTTGAATCCATGGAATAAATGGTGTATATGTCTGGCTGCATGCTTCTGATGTAGAATGCATACTTTCATGATGTTACAGAGTTTTTTTTTAAAATAGAAACTGAATAATTGGAAAATGTAGGAATGTGTACTGCGTAAAATTACAAATACTAAATTATACTATATTACATGTCTAAATTATAAACCTTGCTTTGTCATCGTATACCTATCTATATGATCATATAATGTAAACTATAGTTAAATCAGAGGATGTCCACCTTACCAAACAGATCACGTATCCTCATCTATGTTTGTCATATGATTTCACCATCATAATTCAGAGATAATATGAGAAATGACTGAACCCTTTGGCCAGTTACTCTCATAAAGAAGGACTTCATATATGCTTTGCACAAATAAAAATTACTTCTTTGTTTCTGATAACGGTTTATTTACTTGAGGGGCTCAAGGGAGGGATCTAATTTTCAGCTCACATACCAGTGAGCATCTCTCTCATTGAACATTATGACTCATTTTTGTAAACAAGGAAAGCTTTATTTTCATTCTTTTGCCTGACTTCATGGAAGCTCAGAGCCAATTTTGTGCTCAATTGAAAAAGATGTCCTTAATCATCTTCTTTTACTCTGCTTTATTATTTGGATTCATTTTTAAACTTTAACTTTGTTTAAATATTTGATTATTCTGGAGTTTTTTTAAATCGTAGCTGCTTCAAATTATTTTTTAGAACAAGAAATGATGTAATGAATACATGCACAAACAAATGAGTGCCATCGCGCATCACTCAATACGTGTCTTTTTTTTCCCTGAATGAATGTATGTTTGGAAATTAGACGATACTGTGTTCCGTAAACTGCTGAATTTGTGGCATGAGAGGAGCAATAGGTACAATATGGTGCAATAGGATTTCAGGGAAAAGAGATAGCAGTTGTGCTTGAGTTATTTTTATGGAGATACATATTGTAGTTTGCAGACAGGTGGGAAACTAAGGCAGTGTAGGTGAGATAAATTATAAATAAATTGAATTCATTATATTTATTTTGCTGTATGAGCAGATATAAATTGTGTCTCAACTTTTTTTCCCTCCAGTTTTAGAATTCTAATAACCTCATTGCAATAACTCTTTCTTCAGTATAAAGGATCCAAAACCACAATGTAAAGGAAACATAAACTAGGAAAAGAATGGGGTTGATATCTCTCTCTGTTTCAAAGCAACTTTTGTGATGGATGTTGGTGATCTTCTTGGCTTACCTTCAGTATGTTAGAATGTGCCTTCTGAGCATCTCATCATTCCATTGACAATGCTCTATTTTCAGGCTCCATGCCTAGAGCTGTTTACACCACAGCAACCACCTCTGAACTGGGCTCCTCGCCTCCAGGAGAATTGATTTTTGAATCAAGCTTAAAATGGTAATTAGTAACTCCATCTGTGTTTAGGGTCAGGAACAGATGCTTTTCCTTTTTGCTTTAATGGAAGATATATTTGAAGGTGGAAATATAGTGAAATAGAGTTTAAATAGATCTATATTGTGGTGGGCACTCCTGTGTCAGGTGATGACCATCATGGAAGTATGTTTTTGAGTATCTACCTGAACCCTCTTATCTGGACACAGTACAGATGATTAGAAGGTTTATTTCACAAATCCATTGTGAATTCATTATGGTTCATAGCAATGAGCCTAAGCTACTGCAAGTTCCTGAAACCTCTGCTAGGGAGTTAAATGTTTAATTATATTTAATAGACCGTATTTTATCAAAACCAAGGAGCACTGATTCTAGAACACTGCATTTTATTCACACTGTGGAAAGAACACCCCAGTATTAATTCCACAATCGTTCTCTACTACTTAGAATTTTTACTTTATATTTTTATAAAGGAGGATTTTTAGACAAATAGATATAGATTTTTAACATATATCCATCTTTTACATGAATAAAACATATATTAGCAAGATGCATTAGCTTAAGAATTTAAAAAAATTTATCCTATTCAGAACCTCTTCTGAATCATTTTTTGACTCATTCATAGCCATGTTTTTCCACAGAAAATAGTATGCATGTGTTGATGATGCACTGTTTTTGAAGGGCTCCGCGATTGTCTCCAGAATTTAATTCCAAGCAGCTGATACCTTCTGAATGATTTGATCCTGGTGTGTTGTTGATTTTACTAGAATGTGACAATGGAATGTTTTCAGACAACAACCAGAACTCATTTGCCTTCCTTAAATTGTCCTGAACTGTCAGGAGTGGTGGTTGTCTGGTCATGCTAAGAAGAATAAGAAGAATACCAACAATTTTCACATATATAGTCTATGGCTACTATGCCTCCACTACTGCTTGGCCATAAGAAATTATAAAATGCACCTTGATTTCAGATATGTTAAAGGTGTCAGAGTCAATGAAATATGGCAACTTTAATTATACATGATCCTCGTTTTTTAAACAAACTAATACCATAGCGATAACTAATTAACCAAACTAATAATCTCCAAATAGATAAGAGAAACTATTGCATAATTCTTAGAAAGTATGATTAAAATATAATCCTATCTCTTTTTTTCTCTATTTGCCCTCCAATTATGTAATATATAAAATATAGCTAGTCTTAAGAAAAGAAATAATAGTAGGATGAAAACAAATGAAGAGAACTAGACCAGGAACGAAGAGACCGATGTCTGGGGAGCAGACTCTTCTAGTAACTCTCTGTGTCATTTCTAGTGATCCCTTCACTCTAGGCTTTGGTTTTCGTTTTTCAAATGTATGTTTAGGCTAATTAAAATTAAACATGTTTCCTGGCTCTAAAATCTGTTTTGGGTAAAGATAATCAGAAATAAAGTCTGTAATAATATATTACACATTTAAGTTAGTATGATATAAATACATAATAGTGGAGGGATGTACTGTAAGCTGGTAAGCTTAAAATATATAACATGTATCATATAACTTTAAGATTTATTGTATCATATATAGCTTTAATATTTTACATGTTTTGGGAGACTTGTCCATACATATCTTACTTGTTCTTTAAAATAACTGTTAAGCAATGCAGAAGATTCAACAGAACAAAAGTAGGATTTAGGAACTCTTATCCTCAAATATACTGGATGAGAAAGATTACTAAATAAATCACAGCCAAATAGTGGATGTAAAAGTGGGAGGAGGCAAGAAGAAAATGCATTTTCCACCAAGAACAAAGAAAACTTATGCAAGGAATTAACTATCACTATATATATAAATGTTCTTCTTTAAAAGAATTATCAGTAAGAAGCAAGAGAAAATTGACAGGTAAAAATGAAGTTTCCCTTTTTTATTTTATCATTACTGAACCATATTTTATGATTCAGTATAAATTGGCGATGTACTATTTTATTTTATATGTATATTTATATACGAATATATCTATGAATCAAATATATATATGAATCACATATATATGAATAGATATATATATCAATATATATGAATATATATTCATATATATTGAATTCATATATATGTATTCATATATATATATAAATCAAAGGAAGAGAAGCCTATAGTTGGACCAGTCAGATGCTACTATTTGTGGATACATCTTGACCGTTCTTACCGTGCATTTCCACAGACAACAGCGTTTCTTCCCTGTATTGTATTTGAAAATTGCCACTGCTCTTAAGTGGTCAGAAAGCTGGGCACTTACTTTTTGATGAATAACAAGTTCTCCAGAGGTGTGCCACTCTCCTTTCTTTCGTTGTAGCTGTAGTCACCACAGAGAAAACACTGTGTTGCTTCTCACCTACCTGCTTTGCTTAAAAAGTGAGTTGATTTATGGAGCATGAAGAAAATCCTTCTTTTTTATTTTGGCTAGATATTCTTGAAGTTCTCTCATAATACAATTAAGATATCAAAAACATGATACAGTATTACTGAAGTAAGTAGGTTTCTATAAAATTATTAATTAAATTATTTTAATCCTCTAGTTGTGTCACTTTGTCCTTAAGAAAAATATTCAAGATACTAGGTTTCAAGATGGAGAGTACTATTTAATGGCTTAGAGTCTCAGATCATTAAATAGAGTTCAGAGATTATATTCATATTGTAATCACATCTTTATGACTAAATGCGTAGAATCACATTTTTTGACCTAAGGTGGTTTGTAAAACATATTGTACAAAGGAATCATTTATTTCTAAAAACTTTAATAAATTTTCAATGGTCTTTCCAGCTGAAAAGCTGAAAGGGCCATGGTGGGTTTTAGATAACATAGGCTCACTTCCTTAGTTTACATGTGACAAAACTGAAGTCCAGAGGAAAAAAATGATTTGCTTGTTTATGCAATGGTAGAGCTGGAACCTGATCTTCACATAATGCCTTCATGCATTAGTTTTATTTAAAGAGCAGTAATACATACATCGGCACCATATATTCTGTATATAAGTTACCATGATTACATAATTACTAGAATTTTAGAAGTATAGGTAATAATCACCAGAACTGATAAAAAAGGGGAGTCATATTTTTAGCAAAGTTAGTGGAGGAGGTATTATTTAAAGGAGATTAGGATATGAATAAATAGAGAAGAGGGAGCAAGCATTGCTTGCATAAAAGCAATAAAAATCAAGACTAAGACAGGCAGCAGGGGCAGTTGGCCATTCTAGATTCTTTCAAAAGTAAACACACACATACAACACATTGAGAAATATCATTGTAGAAAGCAAAGAAAAATGCTTATTGAAATCATACATCTTATTTAGCATTCAGTATTTTGGTTTAGGGCCTCTGCAGATTAGAAATAACAATTATACATTTATTTTGAATAAATAGTCCTCAGAAAAATTGGTTCATATTACTCATATCAGAAAGAGTTTGCGTCCACTAAAAATAAATTATTTAAAATGGAATGTATGATTTTCTGAGAATGTCTGTTTGTGACACTGGTTGATACAAAATCAAGCTGAGATTATTTGATTGCCTGTCATCAAATGAGAAGATTCTTCTTATCATTTTTGTTTTTTTTGAGACAGAGTCTCGCTCTGTTGCCCAGGCTGGAGTGCAGTGGCACAATCCTGCCTACATATGGTTCTCTAGCCCAAGCACTCTTTCCATAAGAAATACTAGAAACGTTCTGCCTCACACAATATGTCTTCTTTTCCATGCTCCTTTTCAACATGGTACTCCAAGCAGTCCCTCCAGATTTGATGATTGCAAGACAGAATGCCTATTTGCTTAAGGGAGAGAGAATCTAGTTGGTGCCAATCTGTCTTTTAATGCTCATTGGTCATACTCACCATCACTTAAAAATTTTTAACATTTTTAAGGTCTGAGGGGCAATTTCAAGAGAGATGTATTCTTCCGTTTCTACTAAATTCTATGTAAAATCAACACATCCCTCCTGACTCTCCTTGAAGTCACTCTCCATAAAAACAGCAGCTCATTCTGGGAGCCAGTGGCTAGAATAACCAGCACCTGGAGATTAGGGAGGGAATCTTTCAGAAGAGCATAAGCATGTTTTCTATAGAACTGCGTAAACATGGCCTCTATAACTTCTCAAGAATAGGCGCATTGGCCGGGCGCAGTGGCTCACGCCTGTAATCCCAGCACTTTGGGAGGCCGAGGCGGGCGGATCACAGGGTCAGGAGATCGAGACCTTCCTGGCTAATACGGTGAAACCCCGTCTCTACTAAAAATACAAAAAATTAGCTGGGCGTGGTGGCGGGTGCCTGTAATTCCAGCTACTTGGGAGGCTGAGGCAGGAGAATGGTGTGAACCCGGGAGGCTGAGGTTGCAGTGAGCCGAGATTGTGCCACTGCACTCCAGCCTGGGCAACAGAGCGAGACTCTGTCTCAAAAAAAAAAAAAAAAGAATAGGTGCATTACAACTCTGCCAGTTGTAACTCAAAATACGCTGGGAATAGTCCTGGTATGCTATTTTGAATGTCATTTCTTCACGAGCCTTCTCTAGAACCCCTAGGAAGCCTGAGATCTCACAGAACAGCCTCTCGTGGGACACTCTACCATAGAAATCTGAGAAAAACAAGAGTATGGGTGGTGCTGCTATAGGGGAGAACGAAGGTATAATCACTGGAAATGGAATAATTTGTTAGAGTGTTAGAAAGAGTATAAAGAGCCATCTTTAACATTGCAATATCTTTTATTTATCCTGCTACACTCAGGTTTGCAAAACTGCCATATGTATACATATATATCAATATGTAAATGTGTATCTATCTACCTCTGTTTATCTTTATTAATTGAAAATTATAGTTGAATGATTGATATGAGAAAGCCTGAGAAGAAACAATCACTTTTCTTGGAAAAAACTGTTCATATTCCATATGTACTGTAGACGGGAATGTGGAAAAACACTAGAAAACGTGTCACTGGCCCCTAGAAAACGTGTCACTGGCCCCCAGGAAAATAAATCTAGCATTCATCTATCAGTCCATATATTTTTTTGCTTATCTTCATGAATATTATTTCTTTCCCCCATTTCCAACTCCTGATTTCCTGTCTCCTGATCCCTGTATCCAGTCAACAATGTCTCTTACACACGTCTCTTACATGGCATCCTTTCTGTACCTAAATCCAGAACCCAAATTCAGGATTTTCCATTGTGCTTTTGAAATGTTGCAAAAGCCTTCTAAATGCAAATATCAGCAACCAACACTCTAATATGAATAAGTTTGTCTGACTATTTCCCTCCGCCATGTGATACTTGGCTAAAAAGAATGAAACATAAAAAAGACAAGTATTGATGGGGAAGGCCAGGAAGATCAGTTTAAACCAAGATCATTGCTAGTGAGAACAAGCCTAGGTTAATGCCAGGTGCTTACTAGAAGGATGTTTTAGGGACCTGTAGGGGGGCCAAGAGGCAATCTCTGGAGAGGGTGGGAGATTGAGGAATTTGGGTCTGGGAAAGGGGTGACACAAATGAGCAAGATAAGGGGGAAAACAACCAAACTTGTTCTGCATAATTCTTTAGCTTAATAGGTGGTACTGCTGCTAAGTTAGTACTAAAATTCATGATTCTGTGTGGACTTCACCTCTCTTTGATTTAGTTTTTCTGTCTGTAAAAAATACACTGAGAGTAGTCCTGCTAGTCTATTTTGAGTGTCATTCCTTCACCAGGCTATTCTAAAACTCTAAAAAGTATAGGGCCGTTATGGGAATAAACAAAATAACATAGCACTTTTGCCTGGCACATAAAAATGTTCAGAAGTGTTTGCATTATCATGAGAACCCTCCATACATAAACACGGACACACTGTGCTCACCTACTAATAGCCATTTATCACGTATTTCCTAAGCACTGGGTGGGACATGGTGCTAGGCACAATGGAGAAGGCAAAGATGAGTCAAACGCTACCTCAATTGTGACAGTCCTTCTTTATTCACCTGGAGTTTTTGAAGTTAAGATATGGTGTTCTACATCCATGTTTTTGTTAATGCAGGGGAGATTGGGCTGCTTTTATTTCACTAGCACATGGAAGGAGGGATAAAGCATTTAGAAATGGTGAAATTGGCAGCTTTAGAAAATTCAAGAACTCTATCAGCATTAGAATGTGAAAACATTTGAGTCATAGGCTTGCTAGGGGTGAGTATTTAATAGGTGCCTTTGTAAAATCTCCAAACTAGGCTGTATCATTTTCTATACATGTTTAAATCTCTTAATTACAAAGCAACTTTAATTATACATAAAGTATGCCACTTCAATCATGTTTTAATCACACATAAAAAAATTAAATTTATCCCAAAGTTATTTTCTGCATTTCAATTCTGATTTTTAAACTCTGGCATATTCTGTACCAAAAAATTGCATTAAGCTAATGTTTATGCTTGCACATAATCCCACACTTTCAAGGCAACACTTAAAATATTCAGAAGAGCTTCACAAGAGGGAGTAGTTTAATTCTGTTGTTGACTCAGAGCCATTGTTCTTCACAGTTACAGCTCCGCTGGCATAGGCTACATATGGTCACTTGTTTTCTCAGTGTACAGAGTGATAATGCATTAACATTCTGGCTGGTGGTGGAGGCTGTGCTGTGCTTTAGAGAAATATAGCAGGGAAGATGTGCTGCCTCTTTGGCAGAAAAGAGGGCAAGATCAGCATGAGAGAGCCTGCAGATTGCTATAAACTAATCATTGGGACTGTACACTGTGGTGGCTGACCTAGAAGTCAGATCATTCCCTTACGGAGTCTAAATTTCAAACATTGTCTGTCTGTGAGTAGGACTTACATTGAAAGAGTGGTCATCAGAGAGAACTATGGACCACAGCCACAGAAGGAAGTTTTGCCAGCTTCCTTCACCACTGCCATTCAGAGGTGCTGTTCTGGAGCCCTCGGTTGCCACTTGGAAGAGACTTTTTATGATCCCACTTTTGCTCTAATCATGGCTATGTAGGCCCCAGGTCAAGTGGAGTGCTGGGCTGGTGACTGATGGCCCTGTCAAGGTCCATTAGAAGTAGTACTTAAGTACTTTCTTAGGTCATTAGTATTAGGCAACAAGAATGGGGGATTTTGGCTGGGGTTTAGTAAACATGACTTTTCTTAAAGCTTTTGCAATTTCCTTTTGTGTATATGAAGTGAGGAAAAAAGGCCACGGAAGATATTAAGCATCTATTCCTACCCCGCCCTCCAAACCCCCTCATCTCTTATCTAATATTATTCCATGTGGGATTGTGTGCCAAGAGACATTTCCAGTTATGAGGGCTTCTACCTACTTTTTCCTGCTTCTCTGGGTTACATCTGTGGTTGCGAATAGAAAAATTAATACTAGTGGCAGCACCAGAGGGAGCCACTTACACACTTTTGTTTCAAGCAGTGACGAAGCTGACAGTAAGACTTAAAATGCAGAAATATTAAGGTTTAATTGTATTTTCTGAAAGAGAATGGCAGAAAAGTAGATGATATGTAAAATCTGTTAGCAGCAATTCCAAATTATGGGACTAGTAGCAACCACTTTCTCTCTCTCACTTGAAATATTTGTGAATGGTAATTGCCTGGCTGCAATCCAGAAAGTAAATCATATTTCAAAATGTAAAATTGTGTTTGGAGCAAGAAGTATTCTCTCTGATCCTGGAATTGTCCCTCTGCAGAATACTATTAGCAAGTTTGCATGTTTGAAACCTATACCAGTTTACTGTTTTTGTAATGTTAATGATGCTACCAAAAATAAAGAATGAGGAATTAAGACTAAAACTTTTCAGATGCACATGCCAGTGCTCAATGCATTCTCTCTCACTCTGACACACACACACACACACACACACACACACACAGTGTGCACACATATTTGCACAGGTGATTTTGCTGTAGAGCATTAGAACCAGGATTTTGTAAGGACATCAGGTAAGCTTGCTCTTGAGTACTATGATAGGGTTGAGAGAATTAAAATCCTGAAAGGAAAATAGAATGTATTTATCTTTATTAGCACACTGACCTTTTTTTTTTAATGAGGAAATAGTCAAATGCATAAAGTTCTGAGTGAAACTCTATCTTAATTACCACACTAACAAAATATTTCAGGAAAATATATTGATTCCAACTTCTTGGAGGGAAGGTTTCCAGCCCTTCTCTTGTTTTGTCTTGGCTGATTCTAAACCAAATTATAAAAACACTGGAAAGGAAGAATTGCTATAGTTCTTCTTTGAACAACCACAAAAAAAGCCGTATTCTTAGTACTGCTCAGCCTTCCTCCACCCCACTTTGACAGCATCAGGCATATCCAATAACATACTTTCACAAGAAGGGATTCTATGAAATTAGATGATCTCCTTTGGCTCTGTAATGGTACTTTTTTGGCCTGATTGTGATAAGGCCTGCAGTGCATAATGCTGACAACAAATGCTTTCTTAGGTCGCTTTCCACGTAACAGTAATTCTCTTCAAGAAAGTAATTGATTAACTGGGGTTTGTGCTACAGATGGAAAGGAGGGAATAAGAAAGATTGCTTGTGCTTGACTCCCTGGCGATATTTATCCTTCTTTTCTTTTTAAGAGTCTTTCCTTCTCTTTCTGCCTTGCCCACCCTAGCCAACATGCTTCCCTCGCAGACTGCCCATTCCTAATCCATTTTTGGGGGAAGCGATGGACTAAGGAAGTCGGGGATGCAATGTGACTGTGATCTAGTGTCCTTCTGCCTGCAGAACTTTTAAGAACACAAATTTGCCTCTGAGACAAGGAAGTTCATATATTTTTTGTTTTATCTATCCATCCATCTACCTATTTTATTTTAATTTTAAAAATGAGACTTCTCGGCCGGGTGCTGTGGCTCATGCCTGTAACCCCAGCACTTTGGGAGGCTGAGGTGGGCGGATCACAAGGTCAGGAGTTCAAGACCAGCCTGACCGATACGATGAAACCCCATCTCTACTAAAAATACAAAAATAAGCTGGGCGTGGTGGCATGCACCTGTAGTCCCAGCTACTTGGGAGGCTGAGGCAGAAGAATCGCTTGAACCCAGGAGGCAGAGGTTGCAGTGAGCTGACATCATGCCACTGTACTCCAGCCTGGGTGACAGAGCAAGACTCCATCTCAAAAATAAAATTAAAATTAAATAAATAAAAACTTCTTAGTCTAGAAAGAGGGACCATTACTGAGGAAGAGATCTACAGCAATTTTGTTAACTTCCAAAACTCTGGAAGACATTGGTTATCACTTCCTTCAGGAGCCTTGACCCCAGATGTCTAGAGAAGTTCAGGGCCAGAGCAGCAGGTCAAATGGGAAGCCCTGGAGCTAAACATACCAGGTGATTCTGGCTACCCTATGGGCAAAAGGTTTCAAGAACCTTCTTCTCCCTGGAAAAAGAACAAGAAAGGAAGCAGCAGTGGTTGTGGTACAACAGGTGACTAGTGAAGGTAGAAGAGATGATGTGAGCTTTGTATGTACAGAGAAGGTGTCCCCAGCACGCGGTTCCACACTGTAGTGAATATCATGAGTCCACTGTGCACACAGAAGATCCTGGGTTCGGGAAGGTACCCCAAAGTGCCTCCAAAGCATCTTCATACTTACATTGTATTAGGATGTGAACATATGGGAACAGGAGTGGGGGCCTGGAAGGGAGAGGGGCATGTCTGGTACCGAAAAAGATCATCCTCACATCTTGTTATTTCAAGCTATGTCTGCAAGCAAACTGGTAGCTGTGTTGCTGACTTAACAGAAACAGAGAGGATGCTTGAATACTGATTTGAGTGTGATAAAGGAGATATGTTATATAGTACTCTTCTTGGTAGTATACAAAAAGATGGGAAAGGGCAGGGAGCAGAGTGAGTAGAGGGCATGTCTCCTGCTTAGGAATGATTAAATGGCTATCTTTGAATTGGACTGGAGAAGAAGGAATCCTCAGGACGCTAGGAAACCAATGGACTTAAGTAAGGGGTCAGTGTGGTCCTTTCTTTGTAATCTGAGAATTACCGCTATGCTTTGTTTAGCAAAAGGTACATAGAGGCTTCAGTTTGCCACCTCAGAACCTTAGTTAAGAGACTAGAACTACATTATATGATATGCAACATCTCCATGTGAAAAAAAAAAAAGCACCAAAAACTTCTTAGTCTAGAAAGAGGGACCATTACTGAGGAAGGGATCTACAGCAATGTGTCCATTTGTGTTTAATAGTAAAACCCTTGAAAAGAAAAGGACCTGAACATTAATGTCTTTGGGGAGAGAAAGGGAGGATGATTTAAGGAGCAACATCTCACTTTGGAAATCAGATTTGGAGGAGCAGGACCACGAAAGGTGAAGTGGGTGGTTTTGAGAAGGCCCAAGAGGGTGTGCAGCCTAGAATGACAGACAATAGGAATCAGATAAGAAAGCATCCTGAGACAGAGCAGGGAAGAGGCCCTAAGATGTCCACATATGAATAACGTCATCAGAGAAGTCCACCTGAAATCCCTAAACAAATAAATTGAAACAAGAGCCCACAATAAGATGCAGATGGAGACAAGAGGGCTATCAAGGAGGCAACTGCCAAGTGAGCCAAACTTCTCCTTGGTCTTTGATTCTTCATCAAGCAAAGTCAGAACATTTGCAGTGTTTTGAAAACCGCATTTGTTTTTCAAGCTAATTGTTATTAAAGGGTGATTTCAAATAGTTAGATTTAACATTATTCCAAATAATTGTAGTAACTCAGTTGTATGTGGTTAAATTCTGGACCTTTGAGCAAGGCTTTCGGCAAAAACCTCCTTTGTCAAGTGCAAAATAGGCAAATTTACAGCTCCTATTATATAGGGATTGCTATTTAAATCTGAGATGGCAGGAAGTAGGAGGGGGGATAATTTAAAGCAACTGACAGGCATTATGTCTTTCTCTGATCCTTATTTTTTAAGTTCTCAACAAGCGGTTTAGCGGTATGAAGACAAATCTCTCCCGGAAAAAGTAGAATGGAAAGAAGCTTGATGCTATGCATAGTACACTGGGATTGAAGTTGGATGATGTAGATATAAGTTGACATAGGTAAGTTTTGACTTTGCCGTATGCTAATGATTGCTGAAGGCAGTGCAACCTGGCTTTCAGTGTTTTTCCCTATAAAATAAGAAAGACAACATATTCTTGCCTGTTTCGTAGAGTAGTATTAAAGGACCAATAGGTCAAAGTCTGAAAAGGCATTTTATATACTATTAAACTCTATATGAATATAGGATACCATTGAGTATAGCAGAGAAAAAGGTAATATATTGTAGTAGAGTCAGAAATTGGATGGATTCAGGGTATAGGCCTTAAAATCAGAGGAGCCTCTGCCATTAAGTTATTTAGTCTCTCTATGCTTCAGTTTCCCTATTGATAAAGGGAGATAAGGAGAACTCTACCTGTGGAACATTGCAAGGAGTAAATATATATATATATAGAGAGAGAGAGAGGGAGAGAGAGAGAGAGAGAGAGAGAGCTTGGTATAGAGCCTAACACACAATAAGAGTGCATACATAAAATGAATATTAGCTATTACCAGGTGTGATTATTGGTTGACACCACTGAGTTTATTTATCTTGGAAATGATAGATTCATGAGCGTCACAGATAAGGACCTTGAAGCTCAAGCACTTTGTTTCTATATAACACTTACATCACTTACATTATACTTGTTGACATATAGATGGTATTTAAGCCATGAGATTAGATTACACCACCAAAGGAGTGAGCATAGATGCTCAATATATGCATTCCATTGCCCAGACTTCTAAACTGAATAACCTCATGCAAGCTCCTTATCCCTCTAAGCCTCATTTCTTCATTTGCAAAATAGAGATAATATCTTCCTCATAGAATGAGAGGGTTTAATGAGATAGTATATGCAGAATATGCAGCACCTCATTGGAATGATTTCATTCTGTTCTTTTGGTGATAACTCAGCTTTCAGAAATGGCCCTGAAGGGCCAAAGGAAAAACAGGCAACCAGGAGCAGCGTCTTCCCATGAATTTCACTGTGTGAGTTGTTTTCCCTAACTCATATTTCTTTTGCTTTCTATTTTCTAAAAGACTCCGTGTTTCAGTTAGTTCAGAAAATATTGCTTTGATCACAAAGCTGACCCCTACTACATGTAATCCTGAGGCTTTTTCTGGTAAAAGACATGCAAAAATATACCTACAAAACAATGTGTTAATTTCTTACTTAGATATCATTCCAAAGCATGTGAGCATCAAGATTCGAAAGAAGAGGTGGGAGACATATAGTTGCAAATAATATTTGTATTCTTTAGAATTTGATATGATTAAATGGATACTGATATGGCCCAAGCACAAAGATTTCATCACTTTAATATATATAGTTAAAGTGAGTCTAATGTATTTTGAGAGACATATAAAGAAACCCAAGTATTTATTCTGAGATCTTCTACAAATAATGTTTTTGAAAGTTCATATAAAATAAATCTTTATGATACCATGATCAAACTGTAATATTCATCTGTCTGTATGAATTCAACTCTTATGTTCAATAATGGAAATATGTGCTCTTGCAATTATAAAATTGAAACCTCTTGAGAGTACAAACTGGTAAACCTGGAAATCCATTACTTGGAATTAATAATGCATGTTATTTTTTTCATAGAAAATGATCTACCTTTTTTGTATTAGATATTACATTTGACATATTCTTCCATGTCTCAAGGTAATATCTATGGTGTCGCAAATTACATTTGTAATTAGTTATTCATGCCATTAAACTTAAATATACTATAGAAGTTCAAGAGAGTTCGTAGAAGTAGAAATGAATTAAACATAAATTTTCTGATTATCTTTTTTAAATGGTCTTTTTCAATTTTAAGACTATAGAATTAAGTAATTTTAAAAGCTCACTGATTAAAACTATTTTTAAAATGTCTTGGTATGTGATACTTGAACTTAATTCTCTAAATAATCTATTTACAAAAAATAGTGATTTTCTATTTTGCTTAATTATCTGAATCATATAAGCATTTTTACTTTAATGGAAACAATAATTTTCTTTATAAAATTAGCAATTCATATTTTGCTATCATTATGTGGATTTAAACACTCTTAGAAAATATGTATCAGACACTAATAGGAATTATTTTGAGTTGCTTAATTATCATACACCACACAGAAATGCAATAATTCAATAACATTGCTTGCAACAATAACTTGCAATTTCAAAGATAATGATGTTTGGGTCTCTATCAGTTATACAATTATTTTGTAACTTATAAATAGTTCTTGTACATGTAACTTGTGTAACAGATATTGTAATACAAAACATAAAGGGAATGAATGCACAATATGAAATATTAAATTAACTATGTTTTTTAGGTGTTTCTTCTTAAACTAAACTTTTATGTAAACTTTCTGCCTCCCTATTCTTCTCAGACTAAGTTTTACTCATAAAATTTTGTGGCTTTTATTACTTTTATTAAACAAATACTCATCTTAATAATGAGAAAAAAAACAATTGAGCAGATAGGAAGAAAAAAACAGAATTCTGTCATCACAAGGTAGCTCCTTTTATTCATCCATTCTCTTTCTTTTTATTTGTTTATGTGTGTGTGCATATTATTTGAAAGTATATATACATAAATAAAATATAATAAGTATATATAACAAAGATGGTATTTTAATGCTCTGTCATACATTTCTTTCACATATTAATATGTGAAATATTAGAAGGCATAATTATAATATAATTGGAAGATGTAATTATTATAATTTTAAGATATAATTAGTATACAATGTAATATTATTGTATACTATAATTTAACAATTTATTGCTTGAATTTTTTTTTGCTTTCATTTCTTTTTTCTGTTAACTATGAACTGCATATTTCAATGCACAGTTTGATTATTTTCTTAGGATAAATTATTGATCATGAATTCTTGGGTTTAAAGATATGCACACTTTAAATTATTTCAATGTATATTCCTAAGGTGCCTTCCATAAAGGTCATAGCCCAGTGAAATGTCTCAGGCAGAAGTTCGTTGTGCCCTGTGCAATACAGATATTACATTCTTTTTGATATTTTCCAATCCAATAGGTATGATCTTTCTTCTCATTGTATAAATTGGCAAGTCTTTGATAGCTAATGATATAAAACTATAAAAATATGTATTTGCCAAATGATTTTCATCTTTGAGATTTCATCTAATTTTTCTAATCTACTGTCCATTTATTCTGTTTATGTAAACACAGCTATAGATCTTTGTTACTGTTTCTTTCTTTAACATCAAGCTTAGATTCTGAGAAGCCAAATTATGTACATATTAACCCATATGTTCTTTAGATAGCTTTATGTCTTGAGTTTTTACAATTACATGTTTTTCATCCAAAATGTGTTTTGTTATTAAGTATGATATAAGGATCTAAACCAAACTTGTCCAACTCACAGGCCCTGGGCCACATGGGGTCCAGGATGGCTTTGAATGTGGCCCATCACAAATTTGTAAACTTCCTTAAAATATGATGATTTTTTTTTTTTGCAGTTTCCTTTCTGTTCTTTAGCTTTCTTCTTCTTCTTTTTTTTTTTTTTTTTTTTTTTTTTTTTTTTTTGCTCATCAGCCATCATTAGTGTTAGTATATGTCTATATCTATCTATCTATCTATATATATCGATTTTTTTTTTTTGGCAGTTAAAGACAGGTTTACTTTCGATAAAACCTGAGAAGGGCTTCTGGCTGATTTCAATCAGGAGCGCTTTCTCTTACAGACAAAGTACATGAGTATACATTGGTTTTAGGGTGAGGGGGCTTATCACAAGCTTGGAATGTGTATGTGTAGGGGAGAAGTTTATGGTGAGGTTGGAATGTCTCTGGGTGAAGGGGGGATTATCTTGGGGCTGACATCTTTCCAGCAGGAAGGGGGTTATCTCGGGGCTGGCATCTTCCCAGCTGGAGGGGGGCAGCTAGCATGTCTCTGGTTGCAGAGGAATTTGGAATGTTTCTGGTCGGAGATTTTTTTTTGTTTATGATCATGCTGATCTTAGCCATTTAGGCTGATGCCCTTTGGATTTAGGCAGTTTTTGATTAATGTGAATTGGAAAATAACAGTGCTTGTGCAAGATGGTGATACTCCTGCTCTGTCATATTTCAGCCTCTCAAAGCTCAGGGATTATAGGCATGAGCCACTGTGCCTGGCTCTGTTGTCTGATTCAAAGTCTGTTTTATCTGATATAATAGTGACCCCTGGTTGGGCGTGGTGGCTCATGCCTGTAATCCCAGCACTTTGGGAGGCCAAGGTGGGTGGATCAAGAGGTCAAGAGATCAAGACCATCCTGGCCAACATGGTGAAACCCCATCTCTATCTGGTAAAAATACAAAAATTAGCTGGGCGTGGTAGTGTGTGCCTGTAGTCCCAGCTACTCAGCAGGCTGAGGCAGGAGAATTGCTTGAACCCAGGAGGCAGAAGTTGCAGTAAGCCGAGATCGCACCATTGCACTCCAGCCTGGCGACACAGAGAGACTCAGTCTCAAAAATAAAATAAAATAAAATAAAATAAAGTAAAATAAAATAATAGTGACCCCTGACCTTTTTTGTTTTCCATTTGCTTGATAGATCTTTTTTCTTTTTTTTTTCATTATTATTATTATTATACTTTAAGTTTTAGGGTACATGTGCACAACGTGCAGGTTTGTTACATATGTATACATGTGCCATGTTGGTGTGCTGCACCCATTAACTTGTCATTTAGCATTAAGTATATCTCCTAATGCTGTCCCTCCCCACTCCTCCCACCCCACAACAGTCCCCGGTGTGTGATGTTCCCCTTCCTGTGTCCATGTGTTCTCATTGTTCAATTCCCGCCTATGAGTGAGAACATGCGGTGTTTGGTTTTTTTGTCCTTGCGATAGTTTGCTGAGAATGATGGTTTCCAGCTTCATCCATGTCCCTACAAAGGACATGAACTCATCATTTTTTATGGCTGCAAAGTATTCCATGGTGTATATGTGCCACATTTTCTTAATCCAGTCTATCATTGTTGGACATTTGGGTTGGTTCCAAGTCTATGCTATTGTGAATAGTGCCGCAATAAACATACGTGTGCATGTGTCTTTATAGCAGCATGATTTTATAATCCTCTGGGTATATACCCAGTAATGGGATGACTGGGTCAAATGGTATTTCTAGTTCTAGATCCCTGAGGAATTGCCACACCGACTTCCACAATGGTTGAACTAGTTTACAGTCCCACCAACAGTGTAGTGTTACTATATTTTATGTGTGGCCCAAGACAATTCTTCTTCTTCCGGTGTGGCCCAGGGAAGCCAAAAGATTGTACCCTAAAAATGATAGTATTGAAGAGCCTATCTTTCCACACTAATTTGATATGTGTACTTTTTCATGTACAAAATTTTTACACATAGTTGAATCTTCTGGACTTTCTATTCATTGCCATTGCTCTGCTTATTGGGTGAAAATGCTACATTGTTTTAATTTATTGTATATTTCTAATACTTTTCTAATATCAGGTAGTACAAGCCCTGTGCATTAATTACTCTTCTTTTTTCAGATATTTTCTTACTATTCTGTCTACTGTGTTTCTTCTAAGTGTATTGTAAAATATTCATCAAGTTAAAAATAATAATACAATTGTTATAAATTAGTAAGGAAATGTTAAATAACCTCACACTCTTGATTTTCAGAATCAGGACTCTAGTCTATTTCTCAAATTTTTTAAAAATCATTTTTATTATATACTTTTTATTTTGAAATAATCTTAAATGCCTAGAAAAGTTATTTATTTGGATGTAGTCTTAAAATTAGAATTTGCAAGAGTACAAGTGTCTATTTTTAAAGCCATTTAAAAGTAAGTTGCCCATCTTTCCTTCAAATACGTTAGTGTACATTTTTTACAAATAAGGATATTCTCCTTCCTAATTACAATTGCCATCAAAATTAGGAATTAACATTGGTATGTTATCCCATCTAATCCTTAGACCCTTTTCAGTTTTTCTCAGGTATTCCAACAAAGTCCATTATAGAAAAAGGATCAATTTTATAATAATAATTATTTTTATTATTATTTGAGACAGGGTCTCTGTCACGCAGGCTGGAGTGCAGTGGTGCAATCTCAGCTCTTTGCAACCTCTGCCTCCTGGGCTCAAGCAGTTCTTCTGCCTCAGTCTGGGACTACAGACTGAGGCAGAAGACTGGGATTACAGGTGTGCACCATCATGCCGGGATAAATTTTGTATTTTTTGTAGAGACAGGGTTTTGGCGTGTTGCCTCAGGCTGGTCTTAAACTCCTGGGCTCAAGTGATCCTCCCGCCTCAGCCTCCTAAAGTGCTAGGATTATAGACATGAGCTACCACACCTGGCCCAGTTTAGAATTATGTTTTGTTTTTAGTTGCTATGTCTCGTTAGGCTTCTTCAGTCTGATATAGTGTCTTAGTCATTCTTTGATTTTATACCTCAACACTTTTTAATTGATACATAACGATTTTACATATTAATAGGATACCCATAATATTTTGATACATATATACAATGTTTAATGATCAAATCAGAATAATTTGGTTATCCATCAAATGCAGACATTTATTATCTCAAACAAATAAACTCAAACACTTATCATGATATATATATGTGTGTATATATATGTGATATATATGTGTGTATGTGTACTATATATAGTACACTATATATACACACACACACACACATACACACAATGGAATACTATTCAGCTATAAAAAGAAGGAATTCTTGTCATATGCAGCAACATGAATGAACTTGGAAGACATTATGCTAATTGAAATAAGCCAGGCACAGAAAGACAAATATCACATGTACTTACTCATACGTGAGAGCTAAAAAGTTTATCTCAAGGAGGTAGAGAGTAGAATGGCGGTTACCGGAGGCTGTGAAAATAAAAATACTATATGATCTAGCAATCCTGACTCCATACCTTAGCTGCTATGAATAGCACTACAATAAACATAGAAATATAAATATCACTTCGATTTGATTTCCTTTTGGATATACCCAGCAGTAAGATTGCCAGGTCATATGGTATTTTTATTTTTGTTTTTTTGAGGAACTATTATACTGTTTTTCTATAATGGCTGTACTAATTTACATTCCCATAATCAGTTTACAAACCTTCCTCTTTCTCCTTGCCAGCATCTGTTATTTTTTTGTCTTTTTGATCATAGCCATTTTAACTGGGATGAAATTATATCTCATTGCAGTTTTGATTTGTATTTCTCTGATGATTAGTAATGTTGAACACTTTTTATATACTTGTTTGACATTTGTATGTCTTCTTTTTAGAAATATCTATCTAGACCATTTGTCTGTTTTTACATCAGATTTAATTTTTGCTGTTGAGTTGAGGTTGTTATAGATGCAAGTTATTGATTCCTTGTCAGATGGATAAACTGCAAGTATTTTTTCTGTATTAGTCCATTCTCACACTGCTATAAAGATACTATCTGAGACTACGTAATTTATAAAGGAATTCTTTCCTGACTTTATTGTCAGTCCTTTAACTGACTCACAATTCTGCATGGCTGGGGAGGCCTCAGGAAACTTACAATCATGGTAGAGGGCGAAGGAGAAGCAAGGAGCTTCTCCACAAGGCAGCAGGAGAGAGAGAGAGAGATTGAGGAAGTGCCACACTTTAAACCATCAGATCTCACGAGAACTCTCTCACTATCACAAGAACAGCATGTGGGAAACTGCCCCTGTGATCTAATCACCTCCCAGCAGGCCCTTCCCTCAATACATTGGGATTACAATTTGAGATTAGATTTAGGTGGAGACACAGAGCCAAACCATATCATTCTGCCCTTGGCTCCTCCCAAATCCCATGTCCTTTTCACATTTCAAAATCAATAATGCCTTCCTAACAGTCCCCCAAAGACTTAACTCATTCCGGCATTAACTCAAAAGTCCAAGTCCAAAGCCTTATCTGAGACAAGGCAAGTCCCTCCTGCCTATGAGCCTGTCAAATCAAAAGCAAGTTAGTTACCTCCAAGATACAATGGAGGTGTGGGCTTTGGATAAATGTTCCCATTCCAAATTGGGAAAAATTGACCAAAAAAAAAGGGGACATAGGCCCCTTGAAAGTCCAAAATCCAGCAGGGTAACCATTAAATCTTGAAGCTCCAAAATCTCTTTTGGCTCCATGTCTCACATCCAGGGCACACTAATGCAAGCAGTGGGCTCCCACAGCCTTGGTCAGCCCTGTTCCTGTGACTGCAGGGTACAACCCCTGTGGCTGCTTTCACAAGCTGGTGTTGAGTGACTGCAGCTTTTCCAGGTGGATAATGCAAGCTGTTGGCAGATCTCCCTTTCTGGGGTCTAGAGGGTGGTGGCCCTCTTCTCACAGCTCCACTAGGCAGTGCCCCAGTGGAGACTGTGTTGGGACTCCAGCCCCACATTTCCCTTCCGCACTTCCGTAGCAGAGGTTCTCCACGAGGACTCCACTGCAGCAGACTTCTCCCTGGACATCGAGGCATTTTTATACATCCTCTGAAATCTAGGCAGAGGCTCCTGAAGCTCAGCTCTTGTCTTGTGTGCACCCACAAGCTGAACACCATGTGGAAGCTGAACACCATGTGGAAGCCACCAAGCTTGGGGCTCACATCCTCTGAAGCAATTGCCTCAGCTGTAACCTTGGCCCCTTTTAGCCACAGCTGGAGCTGGAGCAGCTGGAATGCAGGGCACTAAGTTCTGAAGCTGCACGGATCCACTGGGCCCTGGGCCCGGCCTGTGAAGCCATTTTTCCCTCCTAGGCCTCTGGGTCTGTCATGGGAGGGGCTGCTCTGAAGGTCTCTGACATGCCCTGGGGACATTTTCCCCATTGTCTTTGCTAATAACATTCAGCTCCTCCTTACTTGAGCAAATTTCTGCAGTCAGCTTGGCTCAAATTCCTTCCCAGGAAATGGGTTTTTCTTTTCTACCACATGGTCAGGCTGCAAATTTTCCAAACCTTTATACTCTGCTTCCCTTTTAAACTAAGTTCTAATTTCAAACCATCTCTTTGTGATCATATATAACTGAAAGCTTTCAGAATAATTCACGTTCTCTCTTGAACACTGCTGCTTAGAAATTTCTTCCAGCAGATACCCTAAATCATCTCTTTCAAGTTTAAAGTTCCACAGATGTCTAGGGCAGGGGCAAAATACCGCCAGTCTCTTTGCTAAAGCATAGCATGAGTGACCTTTACTCCAGTTCCCAAAAAGTTCCTTATCTCCTTCTGAGACCACCTCAGCCTAGACTTCATTTTTCATATCGCTATCAGCATTTTAGTCAAAACTATTCAACAAGTCTCTAGGAAGTTCCAGACTTTCCCATATCCTCCTGCCTTCTGCTGAGCCCTACAAACGGTTCCAACCTCTGCCTGTTACCCAGTTCCAAAATCACTTCCACATTTCAGGTTATCTTTGTGGCAGTACTCCACTTTGCCAATACCAATTCTCTGTATTAGTCCATTCTCACACTTCTATAAAGATACTACCTGAGACTGGGTAACTTATAAAAGAAAGAGGCTTAATTGACTCACAGTTCCATACAGCTGGGGGGCCTCAGGAAACTTACAATTGTGGTGGAAGGTGAAGGAGAAGCAAGTACCTTCTTCAGAAGGTGGCAGGAGAGAGAGAGAGAAGAGCGAGGAAGTGCCACACTTAAAACCATCAGATCTTGTGAGAACTCCTTTACTATCATGAGAACAGCAAGGGGAAACTGTTCCCATGATCTAATCGCCTACCAGCAGGTCCCTCCTTCAGCATGTGGGGATTACAATTCACGATGAGATTTGGGTGGAGACACAGAGCCAAACCACATCAGTTTACCATTCTGTAGATGACCTCTTCACTCTATTGGTTTTTTTCTTTGCTATGCAGAGGCTTTTTTTTTTATAAAATCTTTATAGAATCTCATTTGTCACCTGTGTTACCCAAAAAAATCATTGTCCAGATTAATGTCCTAAAATGTTTTCCCAGTGTTTTTTCTAATAGATTCATAGTTTCAGGTCTTACATTTAAGTCTTTAATTCATTTTGAGTGATTTCTGTATATGGTGAGAGACAAGGTTCTATTTCCATTCTTCTGCATATGGATATCCAGTTTTACCAGGATTATCTATTGAAGAGACTGTCCGTTTATGTTCTTGGTGTCTTGGTTGAAAATGAGTTGGCTGTAAATGCATAGACTTATTTCTGAGTTCTCTGTGCTATTCCATTAGTTTTTGTGTTTTTATGCCAATATCATGCTGTTTTAGTTACTATAGCCTTGTAGTATACTTTGAAGTCAGGTATTATAATGCCTCTAGCTTTGTTCTTTTTGCTCAGGACTACTTTGACTATTTGGGGTTCTTTGTAGTTCCATGCAAATTTTAAGAAATTTTTTTCTAAATCTGTGAAAAATATCATTGTTATTTTGATAGGAATTGCATTGACATTGTAGATCACTTTGGGTAGTATGGACATTTTAACAATATTATTTTTCTCCAGGAACATGATATGTCTTTTAATTTTTTGTGTGTCATTTTTAATTTCATTCTTCAGTATTTTATAGTTTTTATGGCAGAGCTGTCTCACCTCTTTGGTGAAATTTATTCCTAGGTATTTTATTTTTTTGTAACTATTATAAATGGAATTACCTTCTTGATTTCTTACAGATTGTTCACTGTTGGAATATAGAAATACTACTGTTTGTTTGTGTCATGATTTAGTATTATATTTTGCAACTTCATTGAATTAGTTTGTTAGTTCTAACAGGTTTTTGGTGGACTCTAGGTTTTTCTAAGTATAAGATTATGTCATCTGCAAACAAGGACAATTTGACTTCTTCCTTTTTCATTTGCATGCCTTTTTTTTCCTTTCTGTTACCTAATTGCTCTAGCTAAGACTTCTGCTATGATGTTGAATAAAAGTGATGAAACTAGGTATCTTTTTCGTTTTCCAAATTTGACAATAAAGTTTTTCAAATTTTCCCCATTCAGCATGATGTTAGCTATGGGTTTGTCATATACAGCCTTTAATGTTTTGGGGTATGTTTTTTTCTATATTTGTTGAGAGTTTTTATTATGAACAGATGCTACATTTTATCAAATGCTTTTTCTGCATTCATTGAAATAATAGGTTTTTGTCCTTCAGTCTGTTCATGTGCTATAGCACATTTATTTATTTATTTATTTATTGAACCATTCTTGCATCCCTGGGATAAATCTTGCTTGATCATGATGAATAATCTTTTTGATATGCTGTTGGATTCAGTTTGCTAAAATTTTGTTGAGGATTTCTGCATCTGTGTTCATCAGGGATATTGGCTTCCAATTTGCCTTTTTGTTGTGCCCTTGTCTGGTTTTGGTTTCAGGGTAATGTTGAACTCATAGAATGAGTTTGAAAGAGTTCTTTCCTCTTCAAATTTTTTGGATTAGTTTGAGGAAAATCAGTATTATATTTTCTTTAAAAGTTTGGTAAAACTTAGCAATGAAATTATCTGGTTACGGACTTTCTTTGTGGAGATTTTTAAAATTACTGATTCAACCTCATTACTTAATGGGCTGTCCAGTTTTTCTATTTCCTCATGATTCAATCTTGTAAGATTGTATGCTTCTAAGAATTTATTCATGTCTTCTAAATTTTCTAATTTGTTGGTGTATGGTTCTTCACAATAATCTCCAATAATCCTTTATATTTCTGTGGTATCAGTTGTAATGTTTCATTTTTCATCTCTGATATTACTTGGGTCTTTGTTTTTCTTAATTAGTCACACTAAGGTTTATCCATTTTGTTTATCTTCTCAAACAGCTTTCTATTTTGTTGATTATTTTTCTATTTTCTTTTTCATCTCAATTTCATTTACTTTTGCTCTGATTGTTAGTATTTTTCCTTCTATGAATTTTCAGTTTGGATTGTTCATGCTTTTCTATTTCCTTTAGATGCATAGTTAGGTTGAGTTTTAGAAGTCTTTTTTCTTTTTCAATGTAAGCATTTATTGCTGTAAACTTTTTTCTTAGTACTACTTTTGCTATACTGCATAGGTTTTGGTATGTAGTGTTTCCATTTTCATTTGTTTCAAGGAATTTCAAAATTTTCTTTGCAATGTGTTCATTGACCCATTGGTTTTTCAAGGCCATGTTGTTTAATTTTCATGTATCTGTGCAATTTCCAAGGTCTCCTTTTGTTATTAATTTCTAGTTTTATTCCATTGTGGTCAGAAAAGATACTTGATATGATTTCTACTCTTTTGAATTTGTTCAGACTTGCTTTGTGGCCTAAGATATGGTCTATCCTGGAGAAGTTCAATAGGCTGATGAAAATAATATGTATTCTTCAGTAGTTTGTTGAAATATTCTGTAAATATCAGTTAAGTCTTTTTGGTCTGGAAACTCTATTTTTTTTTTTTTTTGGTTGAGTTTCTGTCTGGAGGACTTGTTCATTGCTTAAAGAGGGGCACTAATGTCTCCTATTATTACTGTGTTACAGTCTGTCTCTTTCTTTATATTTATTAATATTTGCTTTATATATTTTTGTGATCCAGTGTTGGAGTACATATGTATTTATAATTGCTATATGCTCCTGTTATATTGACCCACTTATTATTATATAATGACCTTCTTTGTCTCTTGATAGTTTTGGACTTGAAGTCTATTTTATCTGATATAAGTTTAGCTACTGCTTTTTTATGGTTTCCATTTGTATGGAATCTTTTTTTTCTCCTTCACTTTTAGTCTATGTTTATCTTTATAGGTGAAGTGAGTTTCCTGTAGGCAGCATATGATTGGGTCTTGTTCTTTCAGTTGCATAATTTAGTTTATTACATTCAGTGTTATTATTGATAGGTGAGGACTTACTACTACCATTTTGTTTCTGATTTTCTGGTTGTATTGTAAGTTCTCCCTTTTTTTCTTTTCTACTGTCTTTTTTTGGCTAAGTGTTTTTTTCTGGTAGTATGTTTTATTTAATTTCTTACTTTTTATTTTTAACATATCTGTATTTTTGATTTATGATTACCATAAGGCTTACAAAATATTTTATGGATATAACAACTTAAACTGATGGCAACTTAACTTTGACTCAAATAAAAGAAAAAAATGATTCAATTTCCCCACATTTTGACCTTTTTTGTCTCAATTTTTATCTTTATATATTCCTATCTCTTAAGAAATTATGTAATTATTTTTGATAAATTTGTCTTTTAGTCCTCATACTAAAGGTATAAGTGGTTGATACATCACAAGTTTAGAGTATTCTGCATTTGTATTTGTTCTTGCCTTTTCCATTGTTTTATACTTTCAGATGTTTTCATTTTGCACATTAACATTCTTTTTTTTTCATATTGAATAACTCCCTTTAGCATTTCTTATAAGCTCAGTCTGGTGGTGATGAATTTCCTTAGCTTTTGTGTGTCTGGAAATGTCTTTAATTAGAGCTCCTTTATATGTTGTTTCTTTTGTTTTGCTGCTTTTACAATCCTCTTTTTGTGTTTGGCCTTTGAAAATTTGATTATTATATGCTTTGGAGTAGTCTTATTTGGGTTGAATCAGGTTAGTGATCTTTGACCTTTTAGTATCTGGATAATCTTTCTCTAAGTTTGCAATATTTTCTCTTACTATTTTTTAAATAAGTTTTCTACACCTTGCTATTTCTCAACTCCCTCCTGGCGGTCGACGGCTATTAGATTTGCTCTGTTGAGGCTATCCTCTAGATCTTATAGACATTCTTTTTTCTTTTTCATTCTTTTTTTCTGTCCTCTGACTGTGTATTTTCAAACAGCCTGTCTTCATACTCTCTGATTCTTTTGTTTAATCAGTTTTGCTGGCAATAACCTCTAATGTATTTTTCTATCTAGCCGTTGTATTTCTCAGCTCCAGGATTTCTGTTTATCTTTTATTATTTTATTCTTTTTGTTAAATTTATCTGAATAAATTTCTGCACCGATTTACTGTGTTATCTTGGAGTTCACTGAGTTTCCTCAAAACTACTGTTTTGAATAGTTGATCTGAGAGGTAAAAAATCACCATATTCTTAGGGTCAGACATTGGCTTCTTTTTTGTCTTTTCGTGGAGGTCATGGCTACCTGTTTGCTTTTGTTTCTTATGGATGTATGTCTATGTCTTTGCTTTCAAGGTTTAGTTATTTATTTCAGTCTTTGCTGTCTGCCTTGGTTTGGTCTTTCTAGAGTATGTATGACTAGAAGTCCTGTGCCAGTTGATTTTTGAGTACCCTCAGCCCAAGAACACTGCCTCCTTTTCTGCACTAGATGACACCCTTGCTCAGATTTGCCACAGTTCCTGCAAATAACTTGAGAGTGCTGCCCATCCCAGATTGGGGCTGGGGGAATCCTAAAGTGTATATCCCCGCTGTGTGGGAAAGGTGGCTAAGGGTTATGCCCACAGGGCCCCTGAAGTACCTCCCCTAAAGCATGTTGCTGCTGAACAGATTCAGTGATTTGGCATCTCCTTTGACAGAGATGAAGAATAGCTGCTGAGTTTTGTGCCCTGGCTGGTACTAGCCACACCTCTGCTTTATGCCTCTAGTTTCTCTTAGAAGCCTTCACCCTACGGGCATTTATGATGCTTCCTGTGGATTCAAGCAGAAATGTTTTTCCTGTGAAGAAACCTAACTGGTGACGAAACTGTCTGTCTTCCTTGATCTCACTTTTTCCAGGGTAAAAACTGAATCTGCTAGAACCTTTCTGCATAGTGCCTGGCAGCTTAGGGGAGGGTGTTGTGGCCAGAAGCTTTTGTTTCTCTTACCTCTTGCTTGCGGTTTTTCATTTCGCTGTGATAACTGGAGTCATCACATCCTCAGTTTTTAGTTCTGGGATGTCCCTGGTGATAATCTTGGCCCTAGATAATTGATTTTGGTTTTCTATGAGGGAGAGTAAAGCCAGATTGCTCTTACTCCATTTTGATAATATCACTCTCTTGACACTTTTAAGGATTATAGACCTGTCGTTTTATAGTCTCTAAGTTTGGAATTGTCTGATATTTCTTCATGATTACTTTTATAAGATGTATCTTTTGGAAAAATGTCACAGAAGTGAAGCTGTTATCTTACTGCGTCCTATCAGGTGGCTCTTGATTAAGGTGGTATCTGCCAGCCTTCTCCCCTGTAAAGCTGTCTGATATCATTTGGATATTTGTCTGCTCTAAATCTCTTGTTAAAACTTTATCCCCAATATAGGAGGTGTGACCTAGTGGAAAGTGTTTGCGTTATGAGGGATATGCCCTCATGGCTTAGTGGCATTCTCATGAGATTAAATGAGTTCTCACTCTTAGTTCCTTTGCCATCTAGTTGTTAAAAACAGTCTGGCATCTCTTCTTCTCTGCTTCCCACCGTGTGATCTTTACATACCAGCTCCTCTTTGCTTTCTATCATGAGCAGAAACTTCCTGGCAGCACCAGAAGCAGATGCTGATACCATGCTTCTTGTACAGCCTGGAGAACTGTGAGCCAAATATATTTTCTTTATAAAGTACCCAGCCTCAGATATTTCTTACAGCAATACAAACAGATGAAGACAGTATTATTTTCCCCTTTGTAATATATCATACCTAGCTAACTTTTAATTAATTAATTGACTAATTTATATCAGTATATACTCATTCTATTTTCATTAAATGGGTCACAGTTTATTACTATCATTTTATTCTTTCATGCTAAAACTTTCCCTATTTCACTAGTAGAAGCATTTTAGGGCGGAACACATGAACTTTTAGCATAACCCTATCATACTGAAAGCACTTTCTTGACTTCTGGCCCAGTAAGATGTTCCTGGCTCATCTTGTGCTTTTCCTTCCCTAGCTGTTGAACCAGCCATTTCTCCGAGGATAATTGTGTTTCCTTTTTTTGGTTTTTAATCTACATTTTAGTTTGTTTCTTTAGGAATAAGAGTAGTTTGGGGCAAATATGGAGCAAACAATTTCTTTTTATTCCTTATCAAATCTAGCACACATATATAATATACAAAATCTTTCTTGTACATATATAACTTTTTATTTGTATGAAATATTGACAAACCTGATGAAATCAGTATCTGTGAGCATTTTTTCAAATTCAGTAATCAATTTTTTGCATGATTTTTGGATATATATATAATATGTACTTTAATTTTTAGAGCAATTTTACATTTGTAGTAAAATTGATTGGAAGATGCAGAGATTTCCCATATATGCCCTGCCCTCATTCTTGCATATCCTCTTCTATTATCAGCATCCTACACCAGAGTGGTACATTGTTATGAAGAGTGAATCCACATTGACACATCATTATCATCCAAAATCCAAATTTTCATTAGGAATGAATGTTGGTGTAGTACAGTCAGTGGATTCCATAAATGTATCATGATATATGCCCATCATCATAGTATCATGCAGAATAGTTTCACTGCTCTAAAAATCCTCTAGGGCTCTATGGTCTGCCTATTTATATCTTCCTCCCCACCAGCCCCTGGAAACCACCAAACTTCTTACTATTTCCATAGTTTTGGCTTTTTAAAAATGTCGTATATCTGAAATCATATGGTGGGTAACAATTTCATATTGAATTCTTTCACTTAGTAATATGCATGTAAGGTTCCTCCATGTCTTTTCATGGCTTGATAGCTCATTTCTTTTTAGTGCTAAATAATATTCCTTTGTCAATATGCATAACAGTTTATCCATTAGCCTACTGAAGAACATCTTAGATTCTTCTAAATTTTGGAAATGATAGATAAAACTGCTATAAACACCTGTATGCAGGTTTCTATATGGACGTAAGTTTTCAACTTCTTTGTGGAAATACCAGGGGGTGTGATGGCTGGATCATCGGGTACGAGTATAAGTACTTCTGTAAGAAATTACAAAACTGACTTGCAAAGATGCTATACCATTTGTATTTTCACTAGCAGTGAATGAGAGTTCCTTTTGTTCCACCTCCTTGCCAGCATTTAGTGTTGTCAGCATTCTGGATTTTGCCCTTTCTAATAGCCGTGTAGAAGTACCTCGTTAGTGTTTTAAGTTGCATTTCTCTAATGACATAGGATGTGGAGCATCTTTTTCTGTGCTTATTTACATCTGTATAACTTCTTTGGTGAGGTGTTTACTAAGGACTTTGGCCAATTTTTTAATCAGGTTATTCATTTTTTTATTGTTGAGTTTTAAGAGTTCCTTGTATATTTTGGATGAATCTTTTATCAGATATGTCTTTAATAATCATTTTCATCTAGTCTGTGGCTTGTCTTCTCATTCTCTAGTAGTGTCTTTTGCATTTTTTTTATTGTAATCAATTACAGCTTATCAACTATTTCTTTTGTGGATTGTGCCTTTGTTGTTGTGTATAAAAGTTAATGCCAAACCCAAAGTCCTCTAGGTTTATTTCCTGTTATCTTTTAGAAGTCTCATTTCCTTTTAGAGGATAATGATATTTAAATCCAAGATTTGGGTGCTGGGTATCCTCATTACTATGTGGGAACCACTCCCCCCAGGCTCTCTCAGTGGACAGAGTTAGGAAATATATATTCATCCAATTTATATCTCTTTATATTTCTCTATCTTTCTATCTATTAAAAATAATGAGTTTGCACTAATACCTAAAATTCTAATCAAACACCACAGAGAGTTTTCTCCCTTTTCATATTTGCAACATTTTTGTGTTAATGAGAAACATGGCTTTTATTATTCTTAAGGTATTTACCTATTTGACCGATTGCCCTGTATTGAACCAATCTCCCATTGCTGCCATTGTGCCTTCCTCTGACAGATGTCCTCCGCACCCCACCTGGGCTCTGATGCTCCTTATTGGGCTGCCCTCCTGCAGGAGCACCCTCATCCTGTTTGGGGTTGAACAGTCTATGTCTGAACTTGCCTCTCTTTGGATGCCTCCTCATTCTGCCAATCCCCTGTCTCTCCACAGTGTTCCCTCCCTGTCTGAAACCTCTCCTCACAGTGCTCAGGCTCTGATCCCTTTCTCTGGGCCATCTTGGATGAAAACCCTCCCCTATTAGGATGCCTACTTTTCTCTGTCTTACCCAGTTAGTTTAGCTTAATGTTCAGTAAGGAAAAAGAAGGAAAAGGGAAGAGGGCCTGATCTTTCATGTCCCTCAGTAAACTTTATAATTTCATTGTTAACTTTCTTAGATTTCTAGCTATTTTATATTTTTGCTTGTATGGTGCATATTTATTTTCTTTTTTCTATTTTCTCCCTTTATTGCTGGTACATAGATAAGTTTTTATTTGTATGTTGAGTGTTTAATTTATAAGCGACCAAGCTCTTGATCATTTTGCTCCCTCCTTATATCTATTTAATTGAGCTCTTCCTAAAACATCAGTTGTCCCATCACTTTATGCGTAATGGAAGTTTCCTTGAACTGATACTTCTTGGTAGTTGAGAAGCTCCTGGCTTAGGTTATATAATTAGTATTTATGGGAAACAAGTTGCTTAAATAAAAGTGTCCCTAAAAATTCATTAATTAATTAGCATTAAGATTTGTTTATGATTTACTATATAAAATGATGAAATATAGAAGAGTGAGGCCCTTTTAAAAGTATTTAAGAATCAGCCAAAATACTGCTTGCTATTTAAGCTTAGATTCTTTTCTTCCAGACTGTAGAAGTAGAAAATACATGATTATTCAGAATTCTAGAATCGACTTTAATCCAAAATCCTTAACTAGAAAGTGGGGGTCAGGAGAGGTGGGGAATTAGAAAATTACAACTATGTGTTATAGTTTATATCAGATAATGTTTAGACATATTCAAATTACTCAAAATATTTTCTCAAGTTTCCTTTTTTCATAAAATCTTTAAAAGTAGCAAAAAGTATAGCAAAGTAGATTCTAATGTTCATATTCTTATTCCTAATATAATACATGAGTTCTTTGTAGTAGTGGTTTTCAAATTTTAACATGCATATGAATTACCAGGTAATGGGGCTAGGAAATTGCATTTTGATCAAACACTGCAGGTGATTACAATTCATGGGCCTCACTTAAGAAACACTGATTTAGAGTGAAACAATATTTGAATAAATGTTTCAAGTAGTATACTTTTGTTTAAAGTGCAGACAAAGAGTAAACACACTATTTCTAGTGATTATATCATTATTCAGGGAATACAGGACATCATGTAGTTGGAGACAATTGCACTCTCTACAATCTACTTTCAGAATAAGCTGTTGATGTTCACCAGCTCTCTAGGATCAAGAGCTAAGTTCCTTGAATGTTCCTGTCCTTTCTGAGGTTCTTAGTAAAATGACACCCTATAAAATAGTCTAAAAGGAGTTATAAAGCCACTCTATTTTGTAGTTATTTATCCAATTTTCAGTGTTTAAGAAGCTTTCTATTAGGCAAGAGTAGGTTCAGAATTATCTGTGAATAGCTGCCAAATAATGGTTGTTGTTGGAAACTCCTAAGTGTAGCACATGCTTTAGAGGAAATTTTTTGGTCATTTGGTCTAATGTAAAACTTAAAAGGTGGCCTGAAATTCACCCACCATTTGAAAATACGTAGTTGCTCAGTTCCGTGTCACTAATTCTCTGCTTTCTCTTTGCTTTCTGACACTTCTGAGGAGCAGACCTGTGAAGCTTGAGGCCACTCAAGTTCCAAATTTGTGACAAATCCCCCAGGGCTCACTGGAGTGGCAGTAAGTTCTCGCAGTTTGATTTCCTTTCAATCACTGAAGTGTTAGAAAAGTAGTAACAAAAGCTCCCACGGCAAAACAGCAATTCTGTTTCCTGACCATCCACCATAGTCATGACTTACCTCTTTTGTTCCATTGATTTTTCTGTTGAACAATTTTAATACTTTTAGCCATACAATATGCAGTATAGTTTTGACAAGCTGGCATAATCCTTTAACCATGCTTTGAGTGTACACTTTTTCTCCTTCTACCCCCATAACCTGCCATAGAAAAACTGATTTTATTTTTGAAAATTTCTTTCCCTTTTTCAGCTATTATTTTCACTTAAATATATAATGTTTTTATGTTACAAAGTTTGATTCTCTTTTGATGATATATACATACACACACATATATGAAAATCTTATGTTCACGGAAGCGTTATGTTGTGATATTTATAATCACTTCAATAAAGTCATTTTTAGAAAAAAAAATGTAGGCTGGGTGCGGTGGCACACGCCTGTAATCCCAGCACTTTGGGAGACTGAGGTGGGGGCATATCACGAGGTCAGGAGATCAAGACCATCCTAGCCAACATGGTGAAACCTTATCTCTACTAAAAATACAAAAATTAGCCAGGCGTGGCAGTGCACGCCTGTAGTCCCAGCTACTAAGGAGGCTGAGGCGGGAGAATTGCTTGAACCTGGGAGGCAGAGGCTGCAGTGAGCTGAGATCATGCCACTGCACTCCATCCTGGGCAACAGAGCAAGACTCCCTTTAAAGAAAAAAAATAAGAAAGAAAACTTTAGTAAAAGTCTATACGATGCATTTAGTCAACAAGGAAGGCTGACATCATTTTTAATGAGAGAAGAATATTTTAAAGAAGAAATAATGGCTTTTGGGTCAGAAAGAACCACTGATATCAAACTGACTCTCTGTTCTTTGTAACTAAACCCCAAACCAAACTGATTAACCTACAGCCGCAAGAACAAAATCAAACAACACATGATGTATGTTATTAGAGCATGTCTATAACTCGCTTTTTACATCAATTTACCAAACACTGAGTGAACCCAGCACTTGTTGAGAAGAAAAGACAGAAATGATTATTTAGCCTTTGCTAAGAAATTAAGAAATCAGTTTTAAATGACCAGCATTAAAAGCAAAACAATTTTTCATTGTCACCATCCAAATATGCTAAGAAGGAAACATCTAGAATATATTTCCCAATATTAAAATTATTTCAGAGTAGTTATAAACAAACGGAAGACTGCTCCACCTCACACAATTTTGTTTATTCTGGTTAGTGGCTCCCATTCTTTGGCAAATAATGTATGGCACACACATGAGTTCTGGAACATGTTTTAATAACTCTTAATTTCCTACCACTCATGACCCATCTGTCATGATTTGAGGACCTTACATTAGGGAAGTCAAATAGGGAAGACTGTGTGTTTGTGACCAAGAGCATTAATTTTAGGCGTGGTTTAACTATGTGTCCCATTAATTCCATATCTACAGGTTTTTATCTGTAACTCAACCCAGCCAGATCCATGTTCTCCTCTTCTTTGTCTTGTTGTATGCCTTGAGAAGCTAACCTTGACTTCTATAAGTTACATCCACCCAGGCCCCCTTGATAGTTGGCTTCTTTTAAAAATCCAACAAATGCAAGACAATGGTAGGAGAACAGAGTGTAAGAGAGAGAGTTTGGGTTAAAACCCCATCCCCGCCATTCTTTCCTGCTCTAAGCCATGATTTCTAGCAGTTACTACATCTTTTTATCACTATGACCCAGGTTGGGTGGCCTTTTTCTATGCCTCCAGCTCTAACTGTACTCCAGTAACACTATTTTTCTCTTGCCCTTAGGCCAGTCATAACCTCTTTCTATTGTCATTCCCTTGGTGCTGCAATGTTCCTTTTTATTTTTCTTCACCCTGTCCAGATCTAAAGTCATCCTTATTAAAACTTCTTGAAGTAGATTCTGATTCCTGCATGACTGACTCAGACATTAGCAATAAGAAGCACTACATAAAACATTTGACTGTCAAGATTCCATTTTTGGATGTAGAAATAAGATGAGAAACCTGAGGAAAATTCCCAAGTCGTGATCTGTTTAGAAAGTACCTATACTTGGAATAATTTGACTGTTGCTTCCTCCTGCTCTTTATCCCCTGGTTTCTTAATTATCACAGCTAGATGTTCAGCTGTTGGTATTGTCTGTCACTGCCAATACCACATGTGTCTATTGTGGCCATAACTACTGCTTTCTGAGAGGACTTGGTCATCTACTGTAAAGACCTGATTACTCACTGTGACCAGAAGCCCTTTAAGATTGAATGAAGGAAGATGAGGCTTTTTCAGCTACATTATTAAAAGACAGTTGCAGCTGCAATAAAACATGCATTGGAATTTATTCAGCACTCCTGTGTGCAGCCCCTTGCTCCTCCTGCTTTTGAACGTTGATGGATATGACATTGTGTCTAATCTCAGTTGTATTCTATGGTACTTGTCTTGGAGCTGGTTCTCTGACTTGACTCTTCATTTAGCTTAGTGGACTTGATTTCCTCTCATTTGACTACCAACTTTTGATTTTCTTTAAATCTTGCCTCCAGACTACAAACATGCCAAGTATCGTGCATCGTGTGTTGTTTCTTTCATTGCCGTTCCTGCCACCATCACTCTTGGCTTTGCCTCTGCTGCTGCCATTACTTTCACCACCCCCACCCACCAACACACACACACACAGATATGCACACACACACACGTGCTGTATTGTGTTACAGACAAAGGTCTGCTATCTTTGCCTTCCTGATCCTGCCTTCCCTACTATCAGTCACCCTTTAACCACTGCCACCATCCCCTCTACCATCAAACTAGCAATTTACTGGTCTTTTTCTTTCATTTCAGCCCTTAGACTGAGTTTCCAAGTATCCAAGTCCCCAATGATTATAAAATTTGTTACTTTGGATTTTTTTTTAACATTGCAGATTTATTATCAAGGGAAGTGAGTCCTGAAGGATTCATTCATTTGGGGTTTATAGCAGATAGACATGAATATATTTCTCTCTTAAAAAAACAGAAATAAGCCTTTGATGGTTTGGTTATTTTGACATAACTTTCACTTTAATGGTGGTTTTTTCCCCCTTTGGACTGTATTTCCAAATCAAAACCCTTTTAATTTGATGATGGAGAAAATCTTATATCCTAGATGCATAAATGTTTTGTGTTGTAAAGTTTCTATATCAGAAACCCAATTTCCTGGTTAAGATAGGAATATAGTTTTAAAAAGGTGAAAAAAAATGAGCCTTATACATATCGTCTTTCCTATTAAAAGTATACAAGGAAAAAAATGGCAGAAATGAAGGAAATAACTAAGTTAAAGAGACATGCCAACTTGATCCAGAATTTCTTCCCTGGATCCTGGGCTCACAGATCCAATATGCAGTCTTTTTTAAACAGTATGCAATATAGTGCTCTTATTTTTAAAAATAATATGATTCTAATATTGATACCTGTTATAATTATGAATCACTGATAAAAAGTTTTAATTTTTCACTTTTATTTTCAAAGTTTAGAGCTGAAATTATTAAGAAAATATAGAAAAACTGCGGAAGATTTAGGGATCATTAATAGTCTCTCACACGTTTCAAAATGGGATTCTAAAGAAAGATTAAAGGAATTAGAAATATTCAGTAGACAGAAAAGATAAAGATACAGTTGCCTTCAGGGAGTTAATGGGTACTGGATGTTCCTTTTTCTTCCTTGAATGTAAGAAGAGGGAACAGTGTTATATGTTAGCAAGAAAAGTAAAAACCATAGTTATCGTGTGGACATTTTCAGGATTATCTCTTCTGAAGTTCCTTAAAGATAGACTTATCTGGGAAATATTTCAGTATTTTCCAAATTCAATTCAGTAGAGACACAATTTATCAGAGATACTCACTTTCTAAGATTTCCTTGGTCAAAACAGCTTGACAAATATCTCATATTAAATTCCTCTCTTGGATATTAGCAATCTGGATTAGCATATTTAAGAAAAATTTCTGGAAAGAAAAGAGCTGTTGAAGTCTGTTTAATGCTTAGGCAACAAAGTTTGTTTGCACAAGGGAAGAATTTTTTCCCCCATAGCACATATCACATTCTTTAGTTTCCTCTTAACACCTGTTCAAGAAGCACTGGTTTAAAGCCTGGAGAATGAATTTCTAAACCTGTTGAGGCTCATTGTTGAGTTTTAGTATTATATTAACAAATGGTTATAAACTTGTGAAATTTAATCCAATGGATGAATGGGAGCCAAATAAGAAATATGCGGGAAACTATATAGAGGAATTATTTTGAGGTTGAGTAAATGCGTTATGCTCCTATTCCCATAAAATGTGTCCCAAGGTGTAGAACACAAGGAAAAATGTGCTCATCTCACATCTTTGAAGAAGCTGAAGTTTATTTCTTATTGTTAAAAGGACTGCTCATTCACCTGCAAAAAAAAAAAAAAAGTACAGGAACACCTTGGATATATTGTAGGTTTTGTTCCACATCACTGCAATAAAGCAAATATTGCAGTAAAATGAATCACACAATTTTTTTTGTTTCTCTAGTGCATATAAAAGTTATGTTTACACTATATTGTAGTCAATTAAGCATGCAATACCACTGAATCTAAAAAAAAAGCAAAATACGTATCTTAATTTAAAAATACTTAAAGCTAAAATGCTAATGGTTATTTGAGCCTTCAGTGAGTCTTAATCTTTTTATTGCTGGAGGGTCTTGCCTTGATGTTTATGGCTACTGACTGATCAGAGTGGTGGTTGCTAAAAATTGGGGTGACTCTGGGAACTTTTTCAAATAAGACAGCAATGAAGTTTGCTGCATCAGTTGATTCTTCCTTTTAGGAAAGATTTCTTTGTATCATGCAAGTCAGTTTGGTAGGATTTTACCCACAGTAGAATTTCTTTCAAAATTAGAGTCAATTCTCTCTCTTAGTTGCTTTATCAAGTAAGTTTATGTGATGTACTAAATCCTTTGTTATCATTTCAACAATGTTTAGAGCATCTTTACCAGGAGTAGATTTCATGTCTTTGACATCCACAAGATGCAACTCCTCATCCATTCAAGTTTGTTCATGACATTGCAGCAATTCATTCATATCTTTAGACTCTACTTTTAATTCTAGTTTTTTTGCTATTTTTTTTAACCAAATCTGCAGTTACTTCCTCCACTGAAGACTTAAACCACTCAAAGTCATCCATGAGGGTTGGAATGAACTTATTTTTGCTAATGTTGATATTTTGATCTCCTCCTGTGAATCACAAATGTTCTCAGTGGCACCTAGGATGGTAAATCTTTGGAAGAAGGTTTTCCATTTACTTTGCCCAGATCCATTAGAGAAATCACTATCTATGGCAGTGGTAGCCTTACAGTGTATTTCTTAAATAATAAGACTTGAAAGTTGAAATTCCCTCTTAATCTATGGGGTACAGAATGAATGTTGTGTGAGCAGGCATGAAAACGACATTAATCTTGTACATCTACATCAGAGCTCTTGAGTGACTAGGTGCGTTGTCAATGAGCAGTAATATTTTGAAAAGATAGGTCTGAACTGTAGGCTTAATATATTCAGTAATCCATGCTGTAAAGAGATGTGCTGTCATCCAGGCTTTATTATTCTATTTATAGAGCACAGGCAGAGTAGATTTAGCATAATTCGTAAGGATCTTAGGACTTTCACAATGATAAATGACCAGTGGTTTCAATATAAAGTCTCTAGCTGCATTAGCCCCTAACAAAAGAGCCAGTCTTTCTTTTGAAGCCTGCAAGCCAGACATTGACTTCTCTCTAGCTATGAAAGTCTTAGATGGTATCTTCTTCTAATAGAAGGCTGTTTCACTGACATTGAAAATTTGTTGCTTTCTATAGCCACCTTCCTGAATGATCTTCCGGATAAATGGTGCAGCTTCTACACCAGGACTTTCTGCTTCACCTTGCACTTTTACGTTATAGGAATGTCTTCTTTCCTTCAACCTCATGAACCAGTCTCTGCTAGCTTCCAGCTTTCCTTCTGTAGTCTCCTAACCTCTCTCAGCCTTCACAGAATTGAAGAGTTAGGGCCTTGCTGTGGGTTAGGCTTTAGCTTAGTGGAATTTTGTAGGTGGTTTGATCTTTTATCCAGACTACTAAAACTTTCTTCATATCAGCAATAACGCGTTGTTTTGCTTTCTTAACATTTTTGTGTTCAGTGGAGTCACACTTTTAATTTTCTTCACGATCTTTTCCTTTGCATTTACAACTTAGCTAACCATTTGAAACAAGAGCCCTAGCTTTTGGCCTATTTTGGTTTTAGGCATCCCTTCCTCACCAAACTTAAGTATTTCTAGTTTTGATTGAAGGTGAGATATATGTGACTCTCCTTTCACTTGAACAGTGAGGGACCATTGTAGGATTATTAATTGGCCTAGTTTCAGTATTGTTGTGTCTCTGGTAATAGGGAGGCAGGAGGAGAGGCAGAGAGATAGGGAAATGATGGTTAGTGGAGCAGTCAGAACACACATATTTGTCAGTTAAGTCTGCCATCTTTGTGGATGGGGTTTCCAACACCCGGGCACAATCACAATGGAAACATCAAAGATCACTGATCACAGATCAACGTAACAGATGTCATAATAATGAAAAAGTTGAAATACATGAGAAGTGCCACACAAAGTGAGCACATGCTGTTGGGAAAATGACACCAATCAATTTGGCTAATGCAGAGTTGCCATAAACTTCCAATTTGTGAAAAATACATTCTCTGCAAAGCCCAGTAAAAAGAAGTGTGATCAAACAAGGTATGCCTGTATTTGAAGTATACATTAAATCTGTTAAACCACCAAGTCATGATGTAAATTCCTGGTTGCCTTCTGTATTAATCTAATTTTAATATTTTGAAATGAACCTGAAAAATCTGTATTGTAGGAAGTCAAGGTGTGTATTAGCCCCTTTAACTTCAAAACCATGACATTTGCAGTCAAATTATGTAAAAATATGTATAAACAGCAATTAAATTTGGAGTAATGAATGTGTCTTTGCAAGTTAGAAAAATGCCAATAACATTTGGGATCTTAAATCTGTTACGCAGTTTTCAATGTGCAGTGATTTGTGTTGAGTGCATTGCCTGTTTATTTTTGATTTTAAAATCATTAATTATTGAAAATCTTAATGCTATAAAAAACTAAGTGGGGTTTTTCGTGTATAAAGAGTATTGAGTTATTTCCATTGTATTTAAAATGTATCAAATGTTTATTTTTCATGTAAAATTACTGATCATATTTTCTATCAAACAAGTTTTTCATTATACAGTTAAATTGGTTTCATCTCTCCTTTTAATAAAGCAGATCACATTGTTCCTGAATCCAGCCAAAAATAATGTGTAACATTCAACGTGTGTAATATTCTCCAAGGAAAAAGAGATTCCTGCAGGCTAATTTTTGTAACTTCACTTTGTTAGCATATAAATGACTGGATAGGGATGTTTGTATTGAAAGGTTTAAATTTTACACTAGTTTTCTTGTGTACTTTCAGTAATTATTGAGTCTTAATATTAGGCTAGAAACAACTCTAAAATTATTTTCAAGATTATATTAAAATATTAACTTTTGAAAGTTATTTGATTAATTCTATTAATCAGAGGTCTGCAGGATTTGATAATAAATACCATGGCAGACAATATAGCCTAGAGTTTCTGAATTTAAGGATGTTAATAACTTGACTGCTGTTAGTTGTAGTAATAAATCTTTCAAAATTTATACTTCTGCCTGATTAATTATAGTATGACTTGGTCTAACAAGTAAGATACACACATATTACATATATCTTTTAAGTAACCCAGCAGCCTATAGTACTAAGTAAATATAATATAATACTATACAACCAGTTTACGGAAATGACAGAGTGGTTTGAAGCCAGTTGGGGTCTATAATAGAACACTTGTGTCAGCAGTCTTTCCAGGGGAGGCAAATGGCTGTATATTTTAAAGTGGAAACACAAGATTTAAAATTAAATGCCAGTCAGGTGTTGTACCTAGTGGCTATAATCCCTACTACTAGGAAGACTGAGGTGGGAAGATCACTTGATCGCAGGAATTGGAGGCTGCAGTAACCTATGATCATGTCACTGCACTCTAGCCTGGGTGATGGAGCAAGAAGACCCTGTCTCCAAAAAAAAAGAAGTTTTTTAAAAAAATTGCCCAATTTTTATATTTTTACTTTAATAGTATATATATTATATATATACTATATATATATATACACTATGACTATATATATAGTCATAAAAGGATAAATTGAAGCTCTTTGTGATTAAATTATTAATTTTTTGAAACTGTACTCCCAATACCATTTTATATGACTTTATTGATTATGATTTCTGTTGCTTTGATAATTTGAAAATTATTTTCTATTTTTGAAAGCATTTAATGAGAATGGAAAAAGAAGTAAATAAACATATATATTGTATGTGCAGTATCAATAAGGATGCACACAGCACATTTTAAAAATTTACTTTCAGACTTAGACTTTTGGTATTTAATTTTCAATTTTCAACAATGTTTACTTTTCTGGCAATTTATGAATTTTTGTTGCTTTAGGAAGAAAAACGTGTAAACATTACGCTTAAGGTGCAATTATTTTCTAGAGAACAATTTCATTGTGTTTTCTTAGTAGAAAGACTATAGTGCTAGTTAAACCCATAACCGTTAATATTGAAAATTGTAATGCTGTAAAGAACTTGAAGGAATCATATTTTTCAAGGTAATACAATTTTGAAATAGATAATTTACACCTACTCATGCTTATTCATTGACAGCATATCATTGTATAAATGGCTCACTTAACTGATCAGTGAACATGCATTCTTGGATAATAACCAACATAAGATTGTATCGATACTTCGGTATTAATTTGCTCGTCATTTTTGCTCCAGTCTATTTTTTGTGATATCTATGTATAATTTTAACTTGAAAAGATCTGCAAAAAATATAGTTTGAAAAATATCACATATACTGGGCATCTTTCTAAAAAGGCAATATCACTGGAATACAATACTAAGATTATAGGAATTTAGAATTACAGTCTTGTTTATAAAATCCTGACTTAAACATCGTTTTAAAAAGTTTAATGGCTGCTCTTCTAAGGTTGTCATAAAATCACTTTCATATTTGATATTATGTTTTATGCCTAGATAAAACGATAGATGTCTGTGGCTCCATATCTGTATAACAGAAGGACAGCAGGTAATGCTGCTCATCAAAATGAATAGGCTGTAATATCTATAAAATGGAAGATAAAAGTTAGACTTCTGCTTGAATGAAATGAGCACGGGTGTGATTTCATGCAGGTCTGGTATACATTTATTTCACCTTCTGCCATCTTTTCTCCCAGTCTGGATAAGGCAACTTCTGCATAGTTGATTTTTAAGCTAAAAATTACAACTATTAATTTAAATACAAATGTGTGGATTTTGGTCTTTCAAAAAAATATATATATTCACTATTTTACTTTATTTAATTTGGTTCCTTGAAGAAAATGGACATTTCTCAAAAAAGCTAAAACTTGAAAATGCCCTTACTATATTAGTTTACTTTTTATATTTCCTGGCCTCAACGGCTGGATGGTCACAACTATATATTGCAGTGTCTATCTATCTATCTATATATACACATATATACATATGTGTGTGTATATACATGTGTATATATGTGTGTATATATAAATATAAATGTGGATAGATACTGCAGTATATAGTTGTGTGTGTTTGTATATATATACACACATACTCACACACATATATTACATTTTGTAGCCCTTTAACATTACAGAAAATATTTTCTTTGGTGTTTTATTCTGCTGCTTCAGGAATGCAATATGCAAGGACTTGTATTAAAAAAAAAACAAGGACTTGGCCGGGCGCGGTCGCGGCTCACGCCTGTAATCCCAGCACTTTGGGAGGCCGAGGCGGGCGGATCACGAGGTCAGGAGATCGAGACCATCCCGGCTAAAACGGTGAAACCCCGTCTCTACTAAAAATACAAAAAATTAGCCGGGCGTAGTGGCGGGCGCCTGTAGTCCCAGCTACTTGGGAGGCTGAGGCAGGAGAATGGCGTGAACCCGGGAGGCGGAGCTTGCAGTGAGCCGAGATCCCGCCACTGCACTCCAGCCTGGGCGACAGAGCGAGACTCCGTCTCAAAAAAAAAAAAAAAAAAAAAAAAAAAACAAGGACTTGTGTGAAGATCTATTATGGTTTCCTGTCAGTTGGTGTCTTTTGTTTTATTTGGTATTCTAGTAAAATGACCTGTTCCTTAGGTATGGTTAATTAAAGCTTAAGTTAATTAAAGATTAATATCCAGGCTCAAAACTCTTTATACATGTTTCAATTTACAGAAGCAAAACCTGAGACTTGGAGAGGTTAGATAATTTGCCAATGATCTCATAGCTAGTACATGGCTGAACTGACTCCAATTCCTGAACATTTTGCTCTTCCCATACAGTGAGCTCAATTGGTACCGTCTGCACTAATAGAGTAATGGTTTTAGAGCCTGCTGAGATATGTTGGACAGTTTTCTTCCACATTAAATGGCTTCAGATTGCTAAAACTTTGGAGCCATTGTGTTTTCTACATATCAGCAGCCTTATTCTTCATTCTTGTTGAACCTAGCAGGGTTTTCTTTGTGCTTGCACCAGGGAAGCCAAGCATTATTTTAGAACATCAGAAGACAGGGAAGTTTGGGAACACTTTAAGTTCACACTGACCAACCTCAGATAAGCCCTTAGCAGAACCTGGCAATATGATTGCTCTTCTTTAGTTTCCTGATTTGTGCAATGAGGTTTTCAAAACTTCTCCACCTCTAACAGACATTTGATCTATCCACCCTTGCCCTTACTGTGAGCAGATTACCCCTGTTTTTGCTTTACAGAGAAAATAAAAGCTATCAGATGCAAATTCCATTAATTTTCCTTCTTTTTTCTTTTCTTTTTTTCTTTTTTTTTTTACTATTATTATACTTTAAGTTTTAGGGTACATGTGCACAACGTGCAGGTTTGTTACATATGTATACATGTGCCATGTTGGTGTGCTGCACCCATCAACTTGTCATTTAGCATTAGGTATATCTCCTAATGCTATCCCTCCCCCCTACCCCCACCCCACAACAGTCCCGGTGTGTGATGTTCCCCTTCCTGTGTCCATGTGTTCTCATTGTTCAATTCCCACCTATGAGTGAGAACATGCGGTGTTTGGTTTTTTTGTCCTTGCAATAGTTTGCTGAGAATGATGGTTTCCAGCTTCATCCATGTCCCTACAAAGGACATGAACTCATCATTTTTTATGGCTGCGTAGTATTCCATGGTGTATATGTGCCACATTTTCTTAATCCAGTCTATCATTGTTGGGCATTTGGGTTGGTTCTAAGTCTTTGCTATTGTGAATAGTGCCGCAATAAACATACGTGTGCATGTGTCTTTATAGCAGCATGATTTACAATCCTTTGGGTATATACCCAGTTATGGGATGACTGGGTCAAATGGTATTTCTAGTTCCAGATCCCTGAGGAATTGGCACACCAACTTCCACAATGGTTGAACTAGTTTACAGTCCCACCAACAGTAAAAGTGTTACTATTTGTCCACATCCTCTCCAGCACCTGTTGTTTCCTGACTTCGTAATGATTGCCATTCTAACTGGTGTGAGATGGGATCTCATTGTGGTTTTGATTTGCATTTCTCTGATGGCCAGCGAGGATGAACATTTTTTCATGTGTTTTTTGGCTGCATAAATGTCTTCTTTTGCGAAGTGTCTGTTCACATCCTTTGCCCACTTTTTGATGGGGTTGTTTGTTTTTTTCTTGTAAATTTGTTTGAGTTCATTGTAGATTCTGGATATTAGCCCTTTGTCAGATGAGTAGGTTGCAAAAATTTTCTCCCATTCTGTAGGTTGCCTGTTCACTCTGATGGTGGTTTCTTTTGCTGTGCAGAAGCTCTTTAGTTGAATTAGAACCCATTTGTCAATTTTGACTTTTGTTGCCATTGCTTTTGGTGTTTTAGTCATGAAGTCCTTGCCCATGCCTATGTCCTGAATGGTAATGTCTAGGTTTTCTTCTAGGATTTTTATGGTTTTAGGTCTAACATTTAAGTCTTTAATGCATCTTGAATTAATTTTTGTATAAGGTGTAAGGAAGGGATCCAGTTTCAGCTTTCTATGTATGGCTAGCCAGTTTTCCCAGCACCATTTATTAAATAGGGAATCCTTTCCCCATTGCTTGTTTTTCTCAGGTTTGTCAAAGATCAGGTAGTTGTAGATACATGGCATTATTTCTGAGGGCTCTGTTCTGTTTCATTGATCTATATCTCTGTTTTGGTACCAGTACCAGGCTGTTTTGGTTACTGTAGCCTTGTAGTATAGTTTGAAGTCAGGTAACGTGATGCCTCCAGCTTTGTTCTTTTGGCTTAGGATTGACTTGGCAATGCAGGCTCTTTTTTGGTCCCATATGAACTTTAGTTTTTTCCAATTCTGTGAAGAAAGTCATTGGTAGCTTGATGGGGATGGCATTGAATCTATAAATTACCTTGGGCAGTATGGCCATTTTCATGATATTGATTCTTCCTACCCATGAGCATGGAATGTTCTTTCATTTGTTTGTATCCTCTTTTATTTTATTGAGCAGTGGTTTGTAGTTCTCCTTGAAGAGATCCTTCACATCCCTTGTAAGTTGGATTCCTAGGTATTTTATTCTCTTTGAAGCAGTTGTGAATGGGAGTTCATTCATGATTTGGCTCTCTGTTTGTCTGTTATTGGTGTGTATAAGAATGCTTGTGATTTTTGCACATTGATTTTATATCCTGAGACTTTGCTGAAGTTGCTTATCAGCTAAGGAGATTTTGGGCTGAGACGATGGGGTTTTCCAGATATACAATCATGTCATCTGCAAACAGGGACAATTTTACTTCCTCTTGTCCTAATTGAATGCCCTTTATTTCCTTCTCCTGCCTGATTGCCCTGGCCAGAACTTCCAACACTATGTTGAATAGGAGTGGTGAGAGAGGGCATCCCTGTCTTGTGCCAGTTTTCAAAGGGAATGCTTCCAGTTTTTGTCCATTCAGTATGATATTGGCTGTGGGTTTGTCATAGATAGCTCTTATTATTTTGAGATACCTCCCATCAATACCTAATTTATTGAGAATTTTTAGCTTGAAGAGTTGTTGAATTTTGTCAAAGGCCTTTTCTGCATCTATTGAGATAATCATGTGATTTTTGTCTTTGGTTCTGTTTATATGCTGGATTACGTTTATTGATTTTCATATGTTGAACCAGCCTTGCATCCGAGGGATGAAGCCCACTTGATCATGGTGGATAAGCTTTTTGATGTGTTGCTGTATTTGGTTTGCCAGTATTTTATTGAGGATTTTTGCATCTATGTTCATCAAGGATATTGGTCTAAAATTCTCTTTTTTGGTTGTGTCTCTGCCAGGCTTTGGTATCAGGATGATGCTGGCCTCATAAAATGGGTTAGGGAGGATTCCCTCTTTTTCTATTGACTGGAATAGTTTCAGAAGGAATGGTACCAGCTCCTCTTTGTACCTCTGGTAGAATTTGGCTGTGAATCCATCTGGTCCTGGGCTTTTTTTGGTTGGTAAGCTATTAATTATTGCCTCAATTTCAGAGCCTGTTATTGGTCTATTCAGAGATTCAACTTCTTCCTGGTTTAGTCTTGGGAGGGTGTATGTGTCGAGGAATTTATCCATTTCTTCTAGATTTTCTAGTTTATTTGTGTATAGGTGTTTATAGTATTCTCTGATGGTAGTTTGTATTTCTGTGGGATCAGTGGTGACATCCCCTTTTTCATTTTTTATTGCATCTATTTGATTCTTCTCTCTTTTCTTCTTTATTAGTCTTGCCAGCGGTCTATCAATTTTGTTGATCTTTTCAAAAAACCGGCTCCTGGATTCATTGATTTTTTGAAGGGTTTTTTGTGTCTCCATTTCCTTCAGTTCTGCTCTGATCTTAGTTATTTCTTGCCTTCTGCTAGCTTTTGAATGTGTTTGCTCTTGCTTCTCTAATTCTTTTAATTGTGATGTTAGGGTGTCAATTTTAGATCTTTCCTGCTTTCTCTTGTGGGCATTTAGTGCTATAAATTTCCCTCTACACACTGCTTTGAATGCGTCCCAGAGATTCTGGTATGTTATGTCTTTGTTCTCGTTGGTTTCAAAGAACATCTTTATTTCTGCCTTCATTTCATTATGTACGCAGTAGTCATTCAGGAGCAGGTTGTTCAGTTTCCATGTAGTTGAGCGGTTTTGAGTGAGTTTCTTAATCCTGAGTTCTAGTTTGATTGCACTGTGGTCTGAGAGACAGTTTGTTATAATTTCTGTTCTTTTACATTTGCTGAGGAGTGCTTTACTTCCAACTATGTGGTCAATTTTGTAATAGGTGTGGTGTGGTGCTGAAAAAAATGTATATTCTGTTGATTTGGGGTGGAGAGTTCTGTAGATGTCTATTAGGTCCGCTTGGTGCAGAGCTGAGTTCAGTTCCTGGATATCCTTGTTAACTTTCTGTCTCGTTGATCTGTCTAATGTTGACAGTGGGGTGTTAAAGTCTCCCATTGTTATTGTGTGGGAGTCTAAGTTCTTTGCAGGTCACTAAGGACTTGCTTTATGAATCTGGGTGCTGCTGTATTGGGTGCGTATATATTTAGGAGAGTTAGTTCTTCTTATTGAATTGATCCCTTTGCCATTATCTAATGGCCTTCTTTGTCTCTTTTGATCTTTGTTGGTTTAAAGTCTGTTTTATCAGAGACTAGGATTGCAACCCCTGCCTTTTTTTGTTTTCCATTTGCTTGGTAGATCTTCCTCCATTCCTTTATTTTGAGCCTGTGTGTGTCTCTGCACATGAGATGGGTTTCCTGAATACAGCACACAGATGGGTGTTGACTCTTTATCCAATTTGCCAGTCTGTGCCTTTTAATTGGAGCATTTAGGCCATTTACTTTTAAGGTTAGTATTGTTATGTGTGAATTTGATCCTGTCATTCTGATGTTAGCTGGTTATTTTGCTCGTTAGTTGATGCAGTTTCTTTCTAGTCCTGATGGTCTTTACAATTTGGCATGTTTTTGCAGTGGCTGGTACTGGTTGTTCCTTTCCATGTTTAGTGCTTCCTTCAGGAGCTCTTTTAGGGCAGGCCTGGTGGTGACAAAATCTCTCAGCATTTGCTTGTCTGTAAAGTATTTTATTTCTCCTTCACTTATGAAGCTTAGTTTGGCTGGATATGAAATTCTGGGTTGAAAATTCTTTTCTTTAAGAACGTTGATATTGGCCCCCACTCTCTTCTGGCTTGTAGAGTTTCTGCTGAGAGATCAGCTGTTAGTCTGATGGGCTTCCCTTTGTGGGTAACCCGACCTTTCTCTCGGGCTGCCCTTAACATTTTTTCCTTCATTTCAACTTTGGTGAATCTGACAATTATGTGTCTTGGAGTTGCTCTTCTTGAGGAGTATCTTTGTGGCATTCTCTGTATTTCCTGAATGTGAATGTTGGCCTGCATTGCTATATTGGGGAAGTTCTCCTGGATAATATCCTGCAGAATGTTTTCCAACTTGGTTCCATTCTCCCCGTCACTTTCAGGTACAACAATCAGACGTAGTTTTGGTCTTTTCACATAGTCCCGTATTTCTTGGAGGCTTTGTTCATTTCTTTTTATTCTTTTTTCTCTAAACTTGTATTCACGCTTCATTTCATTCATTTCGTCTTACATAGCTGATACCCTTTCTTCCAGTTGATCGCGTCGGTTACTGAGGCTTGTGCATTCGTCACGTAGTTCTCATGCCATGGTTTTCAGCTCCATCAGGTCCCTTAAAGACTTCTCTGCATTGGTTATTCTAGTTATCCATTCATCTAATTTTTTTTCAAAGTTTTTAACTTCTTTGTCATTGTTTCGAACTTCCTCCTTTAGCTCAGAGTAGTTTGATCTTCTGAAGCCTTCTTCTCTCAACTCGTCAAAGTCATTCTCCGTCTAGCTTTGTTCCATTGCTGGTGAGGAGCTGCATTCCTTTGGAGGAGGAGAGGCGCTCTGATTTTTAGTTTCCAGTTTTTCTGCTCTGTTTTTTCCTCATCTTTGTGGTTTTATCTACCTTTGGTCTTTGATGATCGTGACGTACAGATGGGTTTTTGGTGTGGATGTCCTTTCTGTTTGTTAGTTTTCCTTTTAACAGTCAGGACCCTCAGCTGCAGGTCAGTTGGAGTTTACTGGAGGTGCACTCCAGACCCTGTTTGCCTGGGTATCAGCAGCGGCGGCTGCAGAACAGTGGATATTGGTGAACCGCAAATGCTGCTGCCTGATCGTTCCTCTGGAAGTTTTGTCTCAGAGGAGTACCTGGCCGTGTGAGGTGTCAGTCCGCCCCTAATGGGGGGTGCCTCCCAGTTAGGCTACTCGGGGGTCAGGGACCCACTTGAGGAGGCAGTCTGCCCGTTCTCAGATCTCAAGCTGTGTGCTGGGAGAACCACTACTCTCTTCAAAGCTGTCAGACAGGGACATTTAAGTCTGCAGAGGTTATTGCCGTCTTTTGTTTGTCTGTGCCCTGCCCCCAGAGGTGGAGTCTGCAGAGGCAGGCAGGCCTCCTTGAGCTGTGGTGAGCTCCACCCAGTTCGAGCTTCCTGGCCACTCTGTTTACCTACTCAAGCCTGGGTAATGGCGGGTGCCCCTCCCGCAGCCTCGCTGCCACCTTGCAGTTTGATCTCAGACTGCTATGCTAGCATGAGCAAGGCTCCGTGGGCGTAGGACCCTCTGAGCCATGTGCGTGATATAATCTCCTGGTGTGCCGTTTGTTAAGCCCATTGGAAAAGTGCAGTATTAGGGTGGGAGTGACCCGATTTTCCAAGTGCCATCTGTCACCTGTTTCTTTGACTAGGAAAGGGAATTCCCTGACCCCTTGTGCTTCCCGGGTGAGGCGATGCCTCGCCCTGCTTCGGCTCACGCACAGTGCACTGCACCCTCTGTCCTGCACCCACTGTCTGGCTCTCCCCAGTGAGATCAACCTGGTACCTCAGTTGGTAATGCAGAAATCACCCATCTTCTGCGTCACTCGCGCTGGGAGCTGTAGACTGGAGCTGTTCCTATTCGGCCATCTTGGCTTCCTTTTTTTTTTTGAGATGGAGTCTCGCTCTGTTGCCCAGGCTGGAGTGCAGTGGCGCGATCTTGGCTCACTGTAAGCTCTTCCTCCCGGGTTCAAGCCTCAGCCTCCCAAGTAGCTGGGACTACAGGTGCCCGCCACCACGTCCGGCTAATTTTTTGTATTTTTTTGGTAGAGACGGGGTTTCATCGTGTTAGCTAGGATAGTCTCGATCTCCTGACCTCATGATCCACCCGCCTTGGCCTCCCAAAGTGCAGGATTACAGGCGTGAGCCGCGGTGCCTGGCCTAATTTTCTTGCCGGCTTTCACATTCAAATTTTCTTATTGCTATGTTGACATGTAAGTCATATTTTGTTGAATACTTACAGTATGTATAATTTATACACTGTGGATACTGATATGAACAGGCCTGTTTTCCTGGTCTCTAGTACTTATCATTCCATAGTAGAGACAGAACATAAACTCATATTTAAATGCATTAGTCAAGGTTATCTAGCGAAACAGAACCCATAGGAGAGAGATAGATTACTTGATAGATAGATGATTAATAGTACAATAGGAGATTCAGGGATACCTCAGAAATACTGTGTGTTCGGTTCCAGACCATCACAATAAAGTGAATAACACAGTAAAGTGAGCCACAGACATTTTTTGGTTTCCCAATACATATATAAATTACGTTTACATGACACTGTATTTTAATGTGTATAACATTTTATCTAAAAATGTACATACCTTAATTAAAAATATTTTATTGCTAAACAGTACTAATGATCACTGGAAACTTCAGTGAGTCTTAATCTTTTTGCTGGTGGAAGGTTGTGTCTTAATGGTGATGGCTGCTGACTGATCGGGGTGGTAGTTGCTGAAGATTAGGGTGGCTATGTAATTTCTTTTCTTTTCTTTTTTTTTTTTGAGAAAGGGTCTCATATTTTCTTTTTTCATGGGCTGGGGTGCACTGGTGCAATCACGGCTCACTGCAGTCTCCACTTGCCAGGCTGTAGCAATTCTTCCTAAGTAGCTGGGACTACAGGTGTATACCAATACACCTGGCTAATGTTGTACGTGTGTGTGTGTGTTTTGTAGAGATGGGATCTTGCCATGTTGCCGAGCTGGTCTTGAATTGCTAGGCTCAAGTGATCTTCCTGTGTTGGCCTCCCAAAGTGCTGGGATTGGGATTGGTAGTTTTTTTTTTTTTAAATAAAGCAACAATGAAGTTGGTCACATTGATTGATCCTTCCTTTCAAGAAAGATTTCTTTATAGTGTGCAAGTCAGTTTGATGGGATTTTACCCACAGTAGAACTTCTTTCAAAATTGGAATCAATCCTCTTAAACTATGCCACTGCTTTTATGTATATTCTATATCATTTGTTGTCATTTGAACAATGTTCACAGCATCTTCTCTGGAAGATTCTGTCTCCATAAACCACTTTCTTCACTTATCCATAAGAAGGAACTCCTCATTCATTCAAGTTTGTTCACGAGATTGCAGCAATTCATTTATGTCTTTAGGCTCTACTTTTAATTCTAGTTCTCTTGCTGTTTTTACCAGATCTGCAGTTACTTCCTCCACTGAAGACTTGACCTCTCAAAGTCATCCATGAGGGTTAGAATTGACTTCTTTCTGCTAATGTTTATATTTTGATCTCCTCCCATGAATGTTCTTATTGGAATTTATAATGCTGAGTCCTTTCCAGAAGGTTTTCAATTTACTCTGCCCAGACCCATCAGAATAATCATTATCAATCTGTCTATAGCCTTATGAAATGTATTTCTTAAATAATAAGACTTGAAAGTTGAAATTGCCTCTTGATTCATTGACTGTAGAATGAATGTTGTGTAAACAGGCATGAAAACAGCATTAATCTCTTGTATATCTCCATCAGAGCTCTTGAGTGACTAGGTGCATTGTCAATGAGCAGTAATATTTTGAGAGACATTTTATTCCTGAACAGCAGGTCTTAACAGTGGGCTTAAAATATTCAGTAATCCATGCTATGAACAGGTGTTCTGTCCTGCATGCTTTGATATTCTATTTATAGAGCATGGGCAAGTAGATTTAGCATAATTCTCAAGGGTCCTAGGATTTCCATAAGGATAAATGATCACTGGTTTCAACTTAAGTCTCCGGTTGCATTAGCCCTTAACAAGAGAGTCAGTCTTTCTTTTGAAGCCTACAAGCCAGGCATTGACTTGTTCTTTCTAGCTATGAAATTCCTAGATGGTATCATCTTCTGTTATCATCTTTCTTTAGAAGAAAGCCTACAAGCCAGGCTTACTGTAGCCACCTTCATCAGTGATCTTAGCTAGATCTTCTGGATAAGTTGGTGGCAGCTTCTATGTCAGCACTTTCTACATGCACTTTTGTGTTATGGAGGACATCTTCTTTCCTTCAAGTGATGAACCAATTTCTCCATGCTTCCAACTTCTTTTCTGTAGCTTCCTCACCTCTAACAGCCTTCATAGAATTGAAGAGAGTTAGGGTCTTGCTCTGGATTAGGCTTTAGCTTGAGAGAAGCCCCTTGAGGATTTTGAAAGAATGTTGTAGCTGTTTTGATCTTTTATCCAGACTACTAAAATTTTCTCTGTATCAGCAATAACACATTAGTTTGCTTTTTTATCATTTGTGTGTTCAGTAGGTAACACTTTTAGGCTTACTTCCAACTTTTGATTGAAAATGAGAGATGTGTGACTCTTCTTTCACTTGAACAGTGAGAGGGCATTGTAGGGTTATTAACTGGCCTAACTTTAATACTGTTGTGTCTTAGGGAATAGGGAGGCAGGAGCGGAAGGAGAGAGACTTGAGAATGGCCAGTTGGTGGAGCAATCAGAACATACACAACATTTATGGATTAAGTTTGCTATCTTAGATGGCTGCAGTTCACAGCACTCCAAAACAATTACAAAAGTAACATCAAAGATCACAGTGTCAGCCCATTCACATTGCTATTAATAAATACCTGAGGTTATATAATTTATAAAGAAGGGAGGTTTATTTTGGCCTGTGAACCTCAGGAATCTGACAATCATGGCAGAGGGTGAAGGGAGAGCCAGTGCTTAACATGGTGAGACCTGGAGCAAGGGAGTAGATGCCACAGTCTTTTAAACCGTGAAATCTCATGTGAAAGAGCAAGAACTGACTCATTATTATGAGGGGGCACCAATACATTCATGAGGGATCCACCCCCATGACCCAAACACCTCCTAATAGGCCTACCTCCAACATTTGAGGTTACATTTCAATATGTGATTCAGTGGGGACAAAATATCCAAACCATATCAATCAGTGATCACCCTAATAGATACAATAGTAATCAAAACATTTTAAATATTTTGAGAATTACCAAAATATGGCACAGAGACAGGAAGTGAGCAGATGCTGTTGGAAAAATGGTGCTGATAGACTTGGTTGATATGTGGTTGCCACAAACTTTCAATTTATAAAAAAAATGCACTATGTGGAAAGTATAATAAAGCAAACAACAATAAAACAAGGTTAGCCTGTGAGTATATATATGTGTGTATATATATGTGTGTATATATATGTATATATGTGTGTGTGTATATATATATGTTTATAGAGATTTATTTTACGTTATTGGCTTACACTGTTATGGAGGCTGAGAAGTTCTACAATCTGTCATCTATAAGCAGAAGACGCAGAAAAGCCAGTGTAGTTCGAAGGCCTGAGAACAGCAGAGATAATGATATAGATTCCAGTACAGGTGGGAGGGTGGAAAGAATGATGGCCCAGCTTATACTATCAGGCAGAAAGCAAATTGAACATTCCTCCACCTTTTTGTTCTATTTAGGCCCATAAGTGATTGGATGATACACAGCCATCTGCTTTACTGGGGAGGGCCATCTGCTTTAGTAAGACATCAATTCAAATGCTAATCTCTCCTGGAAACACCCTCACAGATACACCCAGAGATAATGTTTAACCAGATATTCGGGCACACTTGGCCCAGTGATGGTGACGTATAAAATTAATCATCATCATAAATAAATATAAATGATATTTTTAAAACTGATAAGCTCTAAGAAGAGAGTAAAGAGGTGACATGAAACAGTGACAAGACAGGAGGTGAGGATGGGGAGAAGGCAGCATTTACTAGTGTGGCAAGGAAAGATACCTCTTGGGAAGCAATATAGCATGAGGGTTGAGAACATGGACTGAGGCTCAGATTCTACTGCTTACTGCCTGAGTAATGCTGGGCAAGTTACTTAGACTCTCTGTTTCTGAGTTTTCTCATTAGTAAAGTTAGCCTTGTCAGTATTTACATATTAGTGTTAATATGAATTAAATAAGTGTAATGTGTTTAGAAGAGCACCTGGATTACAGGAAACATTCAATGATTGTAGCTATAGTATCTGTCAAAGACCAATTAGCACATTCAGGAGTTCAAATGAAGAGAGTTTAATGAAGGGGCCATTTATGGAGGTGTAGGATTAGATGATGGAACCAGCAGGATGTGGAAAATCACCCAGGTAATAGTAACAGTAGAAAGCCAAGCCATTACTACCCGTAAGCATGAAGAGACACAGGGAAAGAATGAGAGTATTTACCAGAGCTTGGTGGGAGCAGTAGCTGTGAAAAAGAATCACTGGTGTCCTTTGGAGCTCGGCATATGATCTTCTTCCTTCAGTCTCCATAATCTTACCTTAAAGATGATTATTTTCTGTATGATTTAGCTGCTCTTGCATATGGATCCCCTGACAAGAGTTGTGGTCATAAAGAAACTCAGCCATGGAGGAAGAGTTGCTTGTCAGGGAGAACCATGGGAGGGTGATACCCTAACCTATCTCTTCCCATTTTTGCATCTTCTAGCATTACTTACTATCAGAACATCCAATCGGAATTCATGATAAGGGAATCTAGAAGATGTATTCAGTGGAGGATGATATCCTGAGCCACAGAGAAAGACACAGAAGGGTGGTGAATGAGTTGAGGAGGACATTAGGCACTGAGCTTCATTATCATTATCATCACCATTATCATTATTATCATCACAGTTTTCATCATTATTAAATGACATTTGAGTTGAGAAGTCAGGCCATTCCAGAATTAGGGGGAATAGTACCAGAAACAGAGGACAGCAAGTTTCAATGCCATGAAGCACAGTTGCTGCATGTGGTTGTGCGGATTTTGAACCACATAAGTGTAGGGGGTGATATTCAAAGAGGCTAGGTTCACAAAGCATAAAGACAAGTGTGACTTGAGTAAAATAAATATGGGAAATTGGGGGAGAGATGCAATTGTAAGGATAAACAAGTCCAGATCATTTAGGTTTTTAGAGGCCATGCCAAAGAATTTGAATTTTATTTTACATGTAACAGGAAGGCCCTTGAGGATTTTAAATAAGGAAGAGATGTGATCCTATCTATATTTACAAAAGACAACTTTAGATGCTACCTGAAGGTTAAATTCTTATAGGCAAGCAAGAGCAGAAGAAACAGGAATGATGTCACGGTAGTCTTGCTGAGAGATAATAGTGGCTTGGCCTAAAGTTGAGATTCAGTATGTATGAAATAAAGCAATAAGGCTATCTTATGGGTTGAATATGAGGAGGTGGAGATGATGAAAAAGAAAAGAACTAAAGATAATTCCAGGTCTTTGGTTTAGACAGCTAGGTGGACAAGATTGGCATTTATGCAAGAGTGAAAGCCTGGAAGTAGAAGCATGTATTTTGCATGCATGTGTGTGGTGTGTGTAATAGGAGTTAGGGAGATGGGTAATAGGTAATTGTTGCAGAACCAGGAGTTCTGAGATTTCAGGATTTGAAGAATCCAAATTGACATATTAAGGAGACAGTCCAGAGTACAGAGATGAATTAAGGCCTGAGATATACATTTGGATGTCATTGTGATATTGATGGGATTTAAAACTATGGAAAGTAGAAGAGGAGTAAGGACTGAGGCCCCAGGTCTGCCTCAGTGTTAGGAATTTCAGCAAAAGTAGAGAAAGCATTGGAGAGTGGGAAGAAACAGAGGGTGAGAGAGGAGGGAAATCACTGCTGTTTATGTCATGAGTGCAAAAAGAAGAAAATATTTTTTTCTTTTGCTTTGTTTTGTTTTGTTTTGTTTTTGCATAATCCTGAAGGTCAGACGTCAGAATAAAGTGTTTTTAGAAAGAGGGAGGGATCACTGGTGTCCTGTGGAGCAATATGGTGCTGGACATACCACCTTCTTTCATTCTCAGGTATCTCACCCTAAAGACGATCCTTCTCTTTTCTGTATCATTTATCTTCTCCTCTGCATTCGATCCTGCCAATGATCATTTAAATATGCTCAAATCTTTTCTCTCTTAAAAACCAAACCAAACCCAAACAAACCAAAAATCCTACAGACTCCTCCCCAAACTCCAGATCCAGCTACTTCTCCCATCGTCAATGGCTCCTTCTCATCCAAGAGCAGTCTAACCTCTGTTTCCAGTTCCTCATCACCCACTCTCTAATCCACAAGTTGAGTTGTGATTCTTTTGGTAACAAGTTACTGAATACCCAGATACAAGTGACTTAAGAAATGAGGATTTATTTTTCTATTAAGAAGAAGGTTGCATGTGGGAAGTTTTAAGGTTGTTTAATTCAGCAATTCAGGGATGTTGGTGCTCTGCAATCCCCTTGGCTTTTTTCTTATGGTTGCAAGGCAGCTGCAGCAGTTCTAAGTCTTGTGTCTGCACTTAGGAGATGTTTATTTTTCACTATTTCACATTTCACTAAGGAAGAAGCACCCTTTGAGAAGACACTAGCAGACGCCACTAGAGTATCATTGGCTAATATTGGAACATGTGCTTCACCCATTCTCCAGCCACAGAGAGCCTGAAAGAGCAAAGATCTAGCATCTTTAGCCTCAGTGGTGGGAGACACTCTGTTAAGAAGAAAGAAGAGGGTATTTTATTTTGAATGCTCAGCTCATAGCCCATCTCTTCCTCTAGACTAAATTACATGATCTTACAGCAGTAATCTGTTTTGTTGTTCATCATTTTCTTCTTAATGCTCAGCCCATTGCTCAACTCAGTTAGTTAAAATATATTTATTTAATGAATGCACAAATACCTTTCAATGCATTTTTTAAAAAAAATAGCTACACCAACAATTCTAATTTCCTGTTTCCACTTTGTTAGGGATTAAACAAATCCCCACGTTTTTTCAGGTGCATGTATGTGTGCATGCACATACACATGTGAATTTAATTGCAAATATGCTTGGAAAGAATGACTGATAACTTTCTTTTAACTAATGCATAAACTCAGTGACATTTCTTTGCTTAATCAGAGGCTACACATGCTAATTTTCTAGTTCTTGAGTTTGTTATGGTAAGCAGAGATTGACAAATAGTTGGCTTCCAGGTAAATGAGATATTATTTCATTGTAGAAAACAAGATCATGAGAAACCATGGAAGTTTTTTCCGGGTTCACATTTTAAAATAATTTCTGAAATAATCTGAAGGAAATTAATGTCTAGTTAAACTTAAAGATGCAAAATAAAACTATTGCCATCAATATATTTATAATTTTATGCTATAATGATAAGCCATACACAGACCTATTTCAAGAGTCCTTATAATATGTTTGAGTAATAGGCAAGTCCTCAGTAATTTGCAGTTAAATACTATAATAGCATATTTTTGTGTATCAAATACATATTTTTAAAGAAGAAATTATAATCAGGAGCCTTATTTATAAAGCTGTTATCAGGGGTTGTTAGGAATTTTTGAGCTTTTATTTAAAACAAAAAGATTATGAGAAGCAATTATTTTTATAGCATATGTGAATGAAAATTGACAATGCAGAATTATTTTTTGCTGTGGGATTCTTAGATACAATAAACAATAATTTTAAAAATCAATATTTTTTAATTAACATATTAATTAACACATATTTGGAGAGCTACTAATGTAGGCCTGGTACTGTGTTAATAAGAGTTAATTGAAAACTTCAATTGTAATATGTAGTTTTATAAATCATGTAGGAATTTTTATGTGTGCTCTAATTACCCTTTGGCCTCATAATAGTGCATTGTAGGTATTTATGAAATACTCATAAGATAGCTAGACCAATAAATAATATTAAATTAAAGGAGGCAACATGCTTCATAACTAATACTACCCACATGACCCTCAGAAAATGGTAAGCCTTCAGGAGACTTACGGCTTAGTTGAGGAGATCAGACATGTACAAAATTATAAAAAGCTGGGACAGTAAGAAGAAACTGTTATTCTCTGTTCTTTCTTTGAAACTTGGCATCGCTTCTTCCCATAATAGTTCAACCAGCTAAGATTGAACTATTAAAGTGTTGAATGTTATCATCTAAGTACTGTCACAGAGCTCAAGAACTGAAGGTATGGTTTTTGTTTGTGTTTTTGTTTTTTATCATTTCTGGGAACATGTATAAGTAGAAGTACCAATCACTAGAAGCTGCAACTAATTGTTTGGATTCTTTGCAGTTATATTGTTGGCCAAAAGTTAGATACACTCTATATTCCAGAATTTCTATTTTCTTGGCCCAGAAAGAAGTTGGGTCTACAAATGGTAAGGAAATTGTAATTTGTTTATAATCCATTTTTTTGATGTCTACATGGAAATAAAAGAGAGGTTTTCTGGGATAAACCATAGGGAATAAGCATTGGACCTAGTATCCCAACCTCAGTTGACTTTGATGTCCTCACAGTGTGAAGAGCTGCCTAGGGAATGCTCTCTCGCCAGCCCTAAGGCACAGTCCTTTCCACTCAGCAATCTTGCATGGGTGAGATTGAAAGAGACTTAGTCTATTTCTGTGATTACATCTGGATGGTATCTCATACAAGGATGAATCAAAGAGAAAGACAATAGTATGGAGAGACAGTAGTTTACTCTAGAAACTATTGAGCACCAGGGCGGTCTATTATAAGCAAGGCAGATATATCTTGTAGTCAACTCCAAACAATTAACACCTATATGAGCCTTGATGTAAGGAAATCAATCAAAGAGACTGAACTGTCCATGCATGGCCGAAATCCTTGATTCTGAATCAAAAGGGTGGTAAAGTACCAAATTCAGTTAGTGATTTTAGTGAGCACTAGGGGAATTTTATATTCTAGCCAAACATGTGGTTATCCAATCCCCTTAGGAAAAATGTAGGGTCCTGAGTGTACTAGTTCTCCCAGACCCATTTGTTTTTATTTTTTTTTTGTTCTTGCATTAATCATGCACTATGCTAAATATTATATGGACCACATCATTTAATTCTCAAATGGGGGAAAGATTCTATTATGACCATTATATAGACATGGATACTGAGATTATAAAGACTATTAACTTACTCAACCTCACTCTATTTGAACATCAGCTGACCTCCATTCTGCATAATATGATATTGTACATATATGAGAAATAGAATAATAATAATTCTCAAGTCAACATCAATACCACTAACTTTCAACTTCATTTGACATTGTCCTATAAATACTTGTGATTTAGTAAACAAATATTATTGAATCATGTCCGGTTACTCACAAAAGAAACTAGAAAGATTATCTCTCTATATGATGTAACCTGAAAATATATTGTAACATTCTACAAAAAAAATCTCTCTTCTTCCCTGGTTTCTCGTTTTGCCTCCTCACCTACTTTTTCAAATTTTTCTTACCTGTATAGGTTAAATGTCTTACTACTTAGTAGCTGTGACAGTTTTCCTAGTGCCTCAAATCTTCACCTGTAAATTTCACATAAGAATAACATTTATTTCGTGACATAGCCATGAAAAAGAAATCAGATAAAGCCTGTAAAGTTGTGCTTCTCAAACCATCTATGGTGAATGAACATTTTCTATAAGTTATTATCAATTGCAGACTGATAAAACATCAAAAATCAATTGTAAGAGAAATTAAGTAAAAAATAGAATTTTTTATTATTAGGTTCAGTGCTGTTACTGTTTTGAATTCCTATAAAAGTCTTTCAAAGCTTGCTCAGATTTCTTTACTTATCTCATTGCAAATTGATAGCAAATAGTTGGCTCATTGGCAATAGTCCATTGGCCCCATTTTGAGCAACACTGATGTAAAGCTCCTAAAAGAGTGCCTTTTACATATTACATGCTCAATAAATATTTGCAGTTTTATTGAAAATAAGCAAGGTACCAATGACACTGTTAGTTTTTACCTTTCTTAACTTTTTAGCTTTCTCCTCCAAACCACTCTTTTCTTCACAAAATTTTCTCCATTAGATTTTACTACCCCCATCCTCCTCAATGCTTTTGTTCCTCTTGCTAATTTATTTTGAATGTCCCTTAAAGTTTAATTCCTGGACTTAAGGCTCTCTCTCTTTTTGCGTGCATTTCCTTGAATTCTTCATTTCATTAGAAAGTCACCTTCTCCCTGACTCCACCACCTTCTCCCCTGGATTTTTGTCTTACCATAGCCAGTCTCCAATTCACACACCTCTGCCTCCCAGGTGACTTTAACCTTCAGCCTTGTTACCTTGCTTTCATATCAGTGCAACAATCTTCTATTGCTGTCTCTACCATCATTTATTTCTGTTTCAACTTATTTTGCATGCAGTGGTTATTATGTACTATTTTGATAACTGTTTACATTTAAAATAATTGTCATTAATTTGTTTTCTTAAAAAAATCTGGCAGGAATTGAGAACTTGACAGTACCAAACAAATTCAAGAAAAGGTGTTTTATATTCTGCTGAGACTTTATTTTGGCAGTAAGTCCTCTTTCTAGTTCTTCTCTTCAAAATTCAGTCTGTGTTTTCTTAGCTTCCTTCAGTCACTCACTTTTTAATTCCTCACATCTTTCTTGAGGATTATTTGTAACTCTGGTCATGCTGAATTGCTTTATATAGGAGAGGCAGGATCTCCACCTTGTCCTAATCCCTCTGGGACACTTTATTTGCTCAATTTAGCTCTGAGAATAAATCATTTGTTTCCAGACTATGGGCTAGAGATCAGTAGGGCATGCTAGGATGTATGCAAGTGGTCTGTGACTCTACAGGTAACCTCTACCCAAACATCAGTCTTATTAACTATTCTGAATAATTCAAACTATACTTTCCCTTAAAAGGATTATATTGTTCAAAAACATGAGTAGAACATTATTCATTGTAAACAACCTGAAAACAAATCAATACAAAATATACATAAAATGTGCTTGTTCTTAATTGTAACGCTGTGTTTTCCCCACACTTGAAATTCCATCTCCAATTTCTTTTCATCTCTCTTCCATACAGATCTGTTGCTCCCGCTGACCTTGTGGTACATTCAGTTCCACATTCCAACCTTAACTACAAATGTTAGCACTGACTAGAATGTTCTCTTGTAGTGTCTCTGCCAATTATCATTCATTTATTAATACTGTTATTGTCATTATCATCATCGTTGTCATTGTTGAATTGGCTCACTTCTTCCAAGAAGATGTCTTGGCTAACTTCTTAAGGCAAGCAGTTTTCAAAGTGTGATAAGAGGATCCCTCGGGATTCCTGGTATCCTTTCAACTATGTATTTGTGTGTGGGTGGATTGTCTTCTAATACTTCAAGCAAAACACTGTATCATGATAGATTGAATGAAGGAGCAGATATGGCAATCCAGCTGTCTCATATTAATCCTAGCATTAAATACACTTGCAAAAGTGTAAAATGGCACAGCTCTTCTCACTAAATGATTTTGTTTTTGAAAATATTGTTTTATATAAAACATTTATATTAATATATAATGGGTTTATAGTTGTTACTTAAAGATAAATTGATACATAAATATACATTTTTCAAAATTCAAGCATATTATGGTAAATATCCATAGAGATATTCTAAATATTAAAAAAAAACCTCTTAACATCCTCAATCATTTCTAAAGTCTAAAGACATGGAGAGACCAAAAAGTTTGAGAATTACTGCTTTAAGCATTAAGGTATATAGGGCATTTTGTTACTATATATATCTGCTCATTCTCTTCAGCTTCATAAATAATAATAAATAGCATTTACTGAAAGTCTACTATGGAGAAGCATGATATGATATGTGCATTATCTCTATCCACACAGTAAACCTGTAAATTAGCTTTCTTACTCTAATTTTATAGATGTGGAAACTGATGTTTAGAGAAATCAAGGAATCCCTAAGTTTTCCCAAAAACTATGCTGGTAGAGTTAGGCTACTACTTAACTCCAAGTCTCTGCTATTTCTTAATATTTACCACTATTTTGTATAAATCCACATTATTCATCAAACCACCTCCCATGGTATCAGTTACAATTTTTTTTTTTTTTTTGGAGATGGAGTTTTGCTCTTATTGCCCAGGCTGGAGTGCAATGGCGCAATCTCGGCTCACTGTCACCTCTGCCTCCTGGGTTCAAGCGATTCTCCTGCCTTGGCCTCCCAAGTAGCTGGGATTACAGGTGTGCACCACCATGCCTGGCTAATTTTGTATTTTTAGTAGACACGGGGTTTCTCCATGTTGGTCAGGCTGCTCTCGAACTCCCGACCTTAGGTGATCTGCCCGCCTTGGCCTCCCAAAGTGCTGGGATTACAGGCGTGAGCCACCGTACCTGGCTGGTATCAGTTACAATTCTATATGCAAGGAGTTAATGAACAAAATAATTATTAAATAGATAGAGTCAGCCTATCTTTAGAAACCCCTAATGGCAGAGGTTAGTCTTCAAATGACCTATTTATCTCTAGAACTATTTTTTTTTGTGGACTATTTTTTTTCTAAATTATTTTCAGTCTGAATTGCCTCCTATAGACAGTGGAATATTGGTTTTGCAAATCAATGGGTTTCAAAGAATGAACACAATTCATTCAACTTCTACTTAAGCTTTCTAAGCTTAATTCTATATTAATTCACCTGTAGATGCTTAATTTGATCTGGAAACATTTTATAATTCCACTTCCTGATAATACGCTTAGGCATTTCTCGCAGAGGAATTAAGATTTTCAAAGTTATCAGTACATAATTAAGCCTTGTTCAATTAACTGGCCTGCTGCCATGCTTGCAGGGTGCTGTGTCCTGCGACTCAGGAAACTGACACAGCATCACAGAGGATTCTGGCTTTTGTAGACAAGAGCCAACACTGAAGATGTAATGCTTAGGAAAAACACCCAAATGAGCAATCCACTTTAGTTGTTGCTGAGAACTTCTTGGAGGAAGGAGCTTTGCAGGACAACTGACTCATCTTGCAGCAATGTGTAATGCTTGTGCTGGAAGAGATTCTGGTAGGTGAGAACAATTATGGCAGCAAGGGGCAGAAACATCACCCCCTAGCACACAAAATTACAAAAGTTATTTGAGAAAGGGCATTTGTCAGAAAAATAATAAATTTGGTTTTAGCCAAATTTGATGTAAAGCCTATGTTTTTAACGGAAATGCCAAGTAGGTAGTTAGAAATGTCAGAATGAACATCGGAAAATAATAAGACAAAATTCATAGAAGTGAATGTTTTAGATTAGAGGTAAGAGATGAAGTCATATTTTTGAAAGGAAATCACAAACAATAAGCTGAAAAAGATGACTGTTAAACTTTGCATAAATCCTATTGTTATATTGAGAGATTAAGAAAAGTAAAACTTAAAAATGGCAAAGAAAAATATGGTAGAACATGCAGTTGGAATATGCCAGTGCCTCCAACATCTAGTGAGAAAGAAGTTTCAAGAAAGAAGATTCCATCGACAGTGTGAAGTATTCCAGAGAAAGTGAAATAAAGAGGAGGAAAATATTTGGCTTGTTAATGAGAAGATACTTGGTGACTTGTGAGTTGTTGATACGGGAGCTAGATTACATGTCAGTAAACATGAGAATAGAAATGTGATAATAGCTTAAGGAACTAGTGGAAAGACAACAATTATAAACAAAGATAAATAGACCAGGTTCTAGTGAAGGCTGAAAGTTCAAGTTAGGATGATGCATGCGTAACTTGAGGGAAAAGTTTCATCATTTTCAGGTTGTCTAGTAAAAAGATGAAAGACATATTCATTGAGCAATTGTGGTATAGAGACACTGTCTTAGGTGCTTGAATATAGCAGTCAACAATCAAAACCAAGATATCTAAGCTGTGGAGCCTGAGATCTGTTTTGAATATTTAACAGGCTCCTAGCCCTGGGCTAATTAAGCACTATTAGAAGGAACACACTCTTGTGTTATATACAGTGCTGTGCTGGTAATCTGGCTTACTGGGAAAAAATAAAAATAAAAAATAAAAAGCCCTGATAGAGTATTTGAGGAGTTCCTAGTTGTAAATATTCCTGTACTGTAGCCAATTTCTAGCTACCAAGATAATACCACTGGTGTAGAGTTGGGAAGGAGGTGCAGAATAGGCTCCTGAGTTGGCTGCAACAGAGCGCTGGTACTGGTGTGTTTTGTTTTGTATGCTAGGTGTATTAACATGCTTCTACCTTCGTTTTATTCATATGTAAAATAGGAAAAATATTTTGCAACTTTTATGAAGTTGTTTATTGATGAATATTTTTGGTGGAACCAAAAACTGGAGAAATGCAAGCTATCAAATTAATCAGCATAAGTGAAATGGTTAGACATTTACATGTGAAAACAATATTAAATTTAGATTTGGAAAACCATAGACAATTAAAATTAAACTCACAGATGGTAGACAACTTTAGAAATGCTGTAATACACCTCACTTACCTAACGTCTTCAGGGAATGAGCTGTTTCATTTAAGTGAATTTTCCTAATAAAACTTACAGATTCAAGCACTAGCACATTTTCATTTAAACAAATTTATGTGGAAACCTTTCAAAAATGGATTCAAAAATTTGTTGCCTTCTTTATTTTTATAACACATATTTTGAATTTCAAAATAATACGTGATCATTATATAACATTTGAAAATAAACACATATAAAGGAGAAAATAAAAATATATTTCTAATCTCATCAGAGGAAACCAGTGTTATCAAGATGATTTAATTTAATTCCATCTTCTTACTTACATGTATATTTTTAAGTAATTGAAATATTTTTAATCAAATATATGTTACATGAATTTATTTGCAAGCATTTTCTCACATCATTAAATATTCTGTAAATGTATGTTTTTTAAATGGCAGTACTATTTTGTCAAATATGTGCACTAGAATCATTTTAAATATATACATATTGTTATCGATAGTAATTTACATTGCTTCCATTTTTCATAATTATAATGTGCTGCAAAGAATAACCTCATATATCTCTTTCTACCTTAGGACATTTCTAATTATAAATTCCTAAAAATGGAATTAGTGGGTCAAAAGATAAGGTTATTGTTTTAGACAATTAATGAAGTTGGTCAAATTTTAGTGCAAATTGGTCAAACCTTGCCTGCAGAAAAAGTATGACAATTAATACTTTCACTAGAAATGTATGAGAGTACCCATCTCTCTGTATTCCTTGTCATCAGCAGACATTGCCATCTTTATCATTGTTTTCAAACAATGTGCTACATGTCATAATGATTCAGTCATCATCATGTTTATAAGTGAGATAAATGAGATAATGTATGGGGTAACACCTAGAACACTCCATGACACATAGTCACTATTTAGTAAATAACTAGGTCAAAGTTGAGGCTTAACACAATGTTTATCTCTCATTCACATTTCAGTGTGAGTCAATGAGTCCATGCAGTCCTTTAGAGATCAAGGCTTCTTCCATCTGTTGGCTTCACCATCACTTAAGGCCTTAGAATCCTTGCTTCAAAACTCACTTCTGTTTAGTGGTGACCACAGGCAATCTAAGGCATAGTTGTTAATTTGAGTAAATTTTTGTTTTATTCATATACAAAGATGCACCTGTGATTTATTAAAGATCATAAGCCTGTTTGCCACCACTATAATGCATTTTCTTCTTTTTATTACCTTTATGTCTCAGACAAACACATACTATACTGGTTCATGATTGCACACTGAATGTCTGCCCCTCTTCTAGGCTGGAAGCACTTTAAGAGCCGCGGGCTGTGCTTTATTCAACTTACTCTCTTCAGCACTTGATATGGTGTCTGGCACTTATTAATATTCAATGAATAATGATTGGGTCAATGAATAAATAACTGGATTAGTGTATGTTCTTTTTGTTCCTTTGCCTGCTTTTGTGGTTTCATTCATGTGGCCATATATTCTCTCAGTGAATCTCCCTCTCCTTTCACCAGTTATCCTAATTTTCAAACCTCTTGGAACTTCTGGGATGGTATATATAAAATAGAATATTAACTGTCTGTGGGCCTAAAATAACTCTTGAAGTAGTTAAGCTTAGAAACTTTAATAAAATTCCTTTATATCACCACTGCCTTACTCTCTGGCCCATTACTATGTTCTGGGGAACTGAGGCCATCAAATACACAAATCTGAATGAGTGAGGCACATTTTCACATCAATGTAGGTGGATACTCTATTACCTAAAAAAGAAAAAAACTGGATGTGCATTATCCTCATATGATGAATAACCTTTTTCCGTCAGTAGTAGTATTTGGCATATTTGAATTCAACGTTTTCCCATGTTTTGTGTTTCCTGGACCAGGTCTTCTTTGGAATAAAAGGAAACAAAGAGTTCCTGGGATATCAAGAAGGTTCTGTCCGTTTAATGACTTTTAAAAAATAGCACATCTATAGTAAGTGAGTTGAATCAACTCAGTTTCATATTATGGTTTAAAAAAACTGAAAATAAAAAAAAATTGTTCTAAGAGTTATCCACTGCAATGGAATTAAAAGCCAGTGCATAATAGGAAACTGTGTTCTGGAGTTGAGGAACTGATCTGACTTGGTGTGTGACTAGGGTATTGCAGGATGAGCTGCTTCAGATTCCACTGCTACTGGATATGTGGTCTTCATATGAAAAACAAGTTTTGTAATATCTGTTCTGTCTCCATCAGAAGTTTATTAGGCTTGAGATCAAATATTCAGAAGAAATAAAACTGTTATCAATACTTAAAGCAACACTACTTATTTTAAATAATACACTATTGATACTTCTTGTAAAGCCTTAATTTTTAAATTTTTTCCAGTTCTTACTGGTAAAATGAATTTTTTCAAATTACAATAATTTGTCTTGAATAATTTATTTTTTATTATAAAAGATAATGTACCTTTAAAATGGTTTCTAAAATCTCTTTTCAAAGAGGGCAACTTTGTTAATTTCCAACTAGGCTTTCACCATAAGTAGGCATCCCAAACATAGCAATACCTCCCAGATTGTTAATTAGTTCTCCTACTCCAAGTTACACTGATGATCCCCTCCTTTTCTAATAGTTCCTAAGGAAGCAGTCTGATTACACAGGCCATTGCATATTTAGTTGGCCAATTAAAATCTTTGTCATTTCAAAATGTTCCTTGGCTTGTATCACTTATGCCAGCAATCTTTACGATTCAGGAGAATATTCCTAAGGCAGATGGATGCTAACTGACATTTGGGTGATGCCTAGGAAGCAGAGTTAAGTCCTCAGAAAGTTGGCATATGCACTTTTAAAAACTAAAAAAAAAAAAAATGCATTCACAATGGTGTGTAACCACCACGTCTGTGTAGTTCCAAAACACTTTCAACACATCAGAGTAAAACCCCTTACCCATCAAGCAATCTATCCTTATTTCCCCTTCCTCCCAGACCCTGGTAGCCGCCAATCTACATTTTGTGTTTTTCAAAACTTCTTAATGTGGAAGTAATTTAAAATTTATAAGAAGTTTTAAAATAAAAATAATACAAAGAACACCTACATATGCTTACTCCAGTTCATCTGTTGTAAACATTTACCTCATTTGCTTCTCTATTATATATGCATACAATATATAATAATTATACTTTTATGTTAATTATATATGATTATATATATATGTATAATTATTTTCTGAAGCATTTGAGGGTGACCCTCAGACATCTGTGTGGTCTGGACATATGTTCTCAGATTCAACTTTAGAATTGACTTGCCCTCTTTCAGTAGCTGCCAGGGGTGCATCTAAAACACAGAGATGATTGTATCTCTAATATGCTCAAAACCCAATGGGGACTTCTTTTTTAAACAGAGAAATCTCTTAACTGCTTTGCAAGGGCATTCAGTGTGCACCACACCTTGTTTTTAAACATCCTGTCTTGCCTCTTCTGCTGTCTCCATTTCTTTTTCTTTCATCAACCCCATCCACACTGAACTGCTTATGATTGCTAGTGACTGCCATCATATCATCATATTTTTGGGGATTTCTTCCTCCAGATATATACATTTCTCTTTCTCTCCTTGTGAAATTCACCCATGGCCCAGCTTAAATACATATTTTTGTTTTTGCTTCCCTGACCTCATCCTTTATCCCCAAACACACGTAGCGCTTGTAGCAGAGGGACTAACAGCATGGGTTTGTCTTGCCAAATCATGGGTCTGTCACTTGTTAGCCATGTGAATGTGAGCAATTTTCTTCTCTTTTCTTCTGTTTGTTCTTCTGTAAAATGAGAATAATAATAATACACACCTCCTAAAGCTGTTATAGAATTAAATGAGAGAACATTTCCAAGTGTCTAAAACAGTCTTTGGTAGATAGAAAGCACTCAATAACATGTGAACTACAGTTTTAGCAAGACTCAGCTCAGTATATTTTGATTAGGTGTTTATTTATCAATCTCCCAGTGCAGGCTATGGGATTCTTAATGATGAAAACCCTTGTTTATTCATCTTCATATCTCCAGCCTTGCTGTTAGTAGAGCTACCTTGTGAATAATAAATACTGCTAACTCTACAGGTAATGCCCTTCTTTAGACAGAGTAGAGTACAAGAGACATCTCAAAGTCACACAATTTAAAAGAAAGGTGGAATCTGCACTAAGGAATCTTTAGCCTGTAACTGCTTGCATGCTCTGGAATGAGCAAACAAAAATTCTAATTATCTTTCTAGGAAATGGATCAAATAAAAGAATTAGTTGATCTCCAGAAAACAACAACAACAATAAACGCCTGCATCCTTACAGCAAATTTATTAAAGGAAGACATTGTACTTTGAAGTACTACTGTTGCCTCGGGTCAGCATTAAGTTTCTAAATTCTGTGATATATCTACAGGTAGATTGGTTTTTTAGGGCTGCTGTAACAAAGTACAACAAATTAGGTGGATTTAGCAACAAAATTTTTTTGTTTCACAGTTCTGGAGTCTAGAAGTTTGAGATCAAGACATCAGTAGGATTGGTCCTTCTGAGGGCTATGAGGAACAATCTATTCCTTGCCTTTCTTTCAGCTTCTGGTGGTTTGCAGGCAACCTTTGGCATTCCTTGGCTTGTAGATAAACCAACCCATTCTCTGCCTTCGTGTTCACATGGCGTTCTATCTGTGTATGTAGCTCTGTGTCAAAATTTCCTGTTTATAAGAATGTCGGCCATATTGGGTTAGGGGCCCAACCTAGTCTAGCACAACTTCATAATAAATAATTACGTCTGTAATGACCTTATTTCCAAATAACATTCTGAGGTACTGGGGGGTTAGGATATTGACATATGAATTTTGGTAGGGACATAATTCAACTAATAACAATAGACTTTTAGAGAATGCCTTTAACATTTATTAAGGATGGAATATCAACAGATGTGCTTTTGTTCTTCACTGTCCCTCCAATGAAAATTGTTTTTGATGCTGCTTTCCAGAACCTAAGTGTTAAGAGGAAACACTTAATGTTTCTAAACTTAGATTTATGATACTTGATATTCCTGTGCACTAGAGAAATTCCTATCTAAATAGATAGATTTATGATTGTGAACCTGAACTTTGCTGAAGCAGGCAGGTTTGCAAATTTTAGCAGTGTTGACATTCCAAGAAAGAAGATAATGAATTCTAGAAATTCAAATCTGATTATTAAGGTAGAAGTGCTGGGGTTAATATAAAACTCACCAGAAGTAAAATATTTAGACAAACAGTAGAGGTATCATAGCATTTAGGGACTTGGGGAACATTCAATCCTTCCCTTAAGAAAAAGTCATTATATGTAAAGTAATGCACACGCTATTCTCAGTTCTCAAACACAGAAATAGGATGCTGATTACATTAAAGTAAGAAATTTGAAAATACCTAGCTTCTTACCCTGCCCAGTGGTAATATCTCTTAAAATTTGACCACAAACATATTCTACTCTCTGTTTCCTCCACTTTTTTTGTTTTAGTTTTACCTGCAGAAAAACTTCTGCCATTTCTATTATTTTTATCCTTAGTCATAATGTCTTTATGAATGATTTCATTGTTTTACCTTCCAAAATCTTGCCTCGTATAGAAAGTTTAAATGTGAGCCATATAAGAAATGATGTTCCTTGCTTAGAAAGTATATTTCAGGAGTACAATTTGCAGAGTTAGAAATTATATTAAATAATTAAAATGGAGAATAGTTTCACTTATCAAATTGTATTTGAGTTAACCTTGAGAAACTCTCAGTATCTAGTATTGTGCCTTGGGTAGAAGGAATTTATTAATATCACCAACCCCCTTGGACTTATTAAAATTATCCTGTATTCAATATTTCTGACTGACATTAATACTTTCCCTTTTTATTACTAACAAAGGAATATTATTAACCTGGGGTGGGAATACATAAAAAACGTCATGAGGACACAAGTGCTTGAAGAATTTAATTACTGCGACTATAGCATCTTTTTTCTCAGCATTTTTCAATTGTCGACCTAAAAAAGAATTGTCTGTACTATGTAAGGCATTTTGACTCAACCCTGAGTGTTTGACCCAAATGGCATAAGTGAATTGTTTTAATCTGCCCCTTTAGGAGTCTGTTGGCTTTACGGATCTTGCATCATGAATAATTAAACAGTGTTGGCCTATAAATTCCATCAGAAGCACAGTATCTCAGAGATTCATATTTATTTCACAAAAGATAAATATATTGAGGAATCAAATCTGGCAATTGTGTATAAAGCTTATTTTCAAGTATAAGAATTTTTTTGTGCAGTGAGAATTCAAAATCCTCAATAGACATCATGTTAGTAACCCCACAACAGAAATCCCACATAAGTCCATTATTGCTTTTAAAACCTTCATATTAAGATTTCCTATAAAAATGTAAATGTTATGTCTCTGAATTTGTGAATTCAAGCTATCACACAGTACGAAAATATAGAAAATGTTTTGATAATACTGCAAGTTGAGAATATGAACTGTCTCAGCAAGAGTACCTGGCCTTTCTAGAGTAATGAAACATAACTTCAAAGAAGACTTTATTTTCTCTATGCATTTGGATCATTGACCATTGGGTTAAAAGTAGAGATTAATCCCCCACTGTGGGAAATGAGCATTGAAATGCTGACTTGCAGAAAAGATGTTTAGAATGAATTCAACTTTCCCTTTTTTAACCTTCAAATATGGACCTTGAAGTTCAGGAAGACAGAACTATTTACTTCACTAAAATAGTTGCTGTTTGAGGACTGTGTGCTTTGGGTAGTACTCTTCTCAGACAGTGATGCAGCATGATCTATTTCAGAAAACTCTTTCTTTTTTCACCTTCATTCTCCCTATCCCAAATTGGCTGTTTATAAATGAAAATATTGTATAATAAAACAATACGTTATTTTTTGCATTGTGCAGTAATTTCTGGTGTATTTTAAAGTGTGCATTTCCTACTCAGTTCCCAAATAAATAATCTCAAGTCAACTTCTCTGCATCATTTTGCTGGTCAGGAGGACAAGCCTTCTGTGTGCACTACAGCTGCTAGATGCTAGCGGGCGAATAACACAGCCTTCTTCTTTAATGAGACGGCAGATTTCCTACCTCTGAAAATTAAGAATGTTGGTCTCTGCAGTAATTTGGCACAGGGCTGCTTTTACTTTATTAAATTTCTTCTAGTAGCAATAAAAAGAGTGCCAGCGTTAGCCTCAAACCCAGGGCTAGAAAGAAAATATGTTGTTAGCCTAGGCCAGGTCTCAGTTGAACTTTTTAATACTGGGTGTATTTTTTTTTCTTCCTCCTGCTCCTCCTCACCCTCTTCAACCTCAGCCTCCCCCTCCTCCTTTTCCTTTTCCTTCTGTTTTTCTTTCTCTTCCTCCTCTTGCTCCTTCTCCTTCTTCTTCTGAATTCTAGTCTGTTTTTATTTGAGAGTCCTCAGACCACTCTGAACTAGCATGGGGTAGAATCTTCAGTACTTCATGAAAGACTTCTCCTTCTTAGAACTGAGAACAAAGAAAGTAAACCGGAATTAACAAACAATACTGAAATTCACAGATTGGAAAAGTGGCAATTATTCTGTGAAGCGTTGCATCTTCCTAAAAAAAAGCCCCAAACCCTTCAATTTCTTAAGAATATCTATATCTATATGTGTGTGTGTGTATACAAACTATATATTCTCATATGCAAATATGCAGCACTTAAATGAAATGTTCAAAATTATTTATGAGAAAAGGAAAACCTGAGAATCACTTGCCTAATATGAGGTTATTCTGACATATAGTTTGATTAATATGTATGTACTGATTGTCACAGTTTTCCTTGGTTAGTTTCAGTATAAAATATGCATGTTATTATTAAATATGCTTAAGAAATGGCAGAAGTTGGGCTGGGTGCAGTTGCTCACAACTGTAATCCTAGCACTTTGGGAGGCCGAGGTGGGTGGATCACGAGGTCAGGAGTTCGAGACCAGTCTGGCCAACATGGTGAAACCCCGTATCTACTAAAAATACAAAAATTATCTGGGCATGGTGGTGCACGCCTGTAATCCTGGCTACTCAGGAGGCTGAGGCAGGAGAATTGCTTGAACCCGGGAGGCAGAGGTTGCAGTGAGTGGAGATCCCGCCACTGCACTCCAGCCTGGGCAACAGAGTGAGACTCTGTCTCAAGGAAAAAAAAGAAAAAAAGAAAAGACAGAAGTTATACATAACAAGCTACTATGATTCTGATACTATGAAATTTTATGCAATCTAAAAATAGTTTTTATATTATCTTAGATGCAGCATCAAAATTACCAATATAAACTTATACTCTGGCTAATAGATTTTCCAACATAGAAAAGAAGTGTCTTACTAATTAATTTCCAACTCATCACCTCTGTAATTACTAAAGTTTGTGAAATATATATAATTTCTAAACTAACGTTATTTCAATTACTTGTTAGGGCAGTCAAAGCTATTTATACATGAATAACAAGTTATTCATATATGCTTTAAATTTTTTTCTAAATGAATCATTCTTTTGTTTTCTGATTATCAAAATCCTTTAAAAGAAATAATAACTATATAGTCTCTCTGTGTATATATGTGTACATTTATATATTCACTATTTAGCATCTGATTACTGAGCTCTCTAACATGCTGTCTCAAACATTTAAAGTTATTTGTCACTGTTTTTATTTCCAAATCTTAAACAAAATATAAGATTTAAAATCAGCTTGCCAAAACTTCAGCATCTTATATGGTTTGCTAATTTTTTTCTTATAATTCTAACAAAAAGCAAACCTTTTTGGGAGCAAATACTTCATCTTGTCTGCCAGTGAATCCCCAGATCCTTATATGATGACTGATACATGGTGGGAGCTCAACAAATATTTTTAGCAAGAGTTAATTAATGACTGATCACTTATTGCATAGCAATTACCACTAATCATTCCTCAAGTATGTTTTATCTCTTTGAACTAAGCACATCACTCTTAATCAGATTTACAAAATTTTTGGATGTGATGTAAATACTCTAATCCTTGCATTTGAGTCAGTTTCTAAAAGAGAACAACTGCAAGATGTTGTTCAAAATCAGTTAATTGGGTCTATTAATTGGGTCTATTTATTAACTAAACAAGCACTGCACTTTAAGAGAGTACAGTTAATGAGATGAAAGGAAGGAAGCAAGTCATTTTCTTCTTTAAGAAATTATTGAAGTCAACATTGTATTATGATATTTTATGGCTGTAGTTCTCTGGCTACAGTGCCTTATAAATATTGATTATTTAAGAGTAGAGTAAGACAAGCTGGAGAATTACCTAAGGAGAAGGCCAAGAAGACAACTAACATCCCAAGTGGCCAGTAGACATAATTCAACTCAAAAGCAAGTTTGGTTTCTTTAGATCAGCAGAGTGCTGCCTGAGTGGGGACTCTGTCTCTAGAGATGGTGCTAATGCTAGATGTTGAAAATAAGTTTTGAAGGAAGCATTAGCAAAAAGTCAAAATTTTATAATAAGGTGCTTAAAAATGAGTTTCCTTATATTATTCTGTATGTGGGAGAAAAATTTGGATAAGTTTAATGTTGTAACTTTTAGGAGTTAAAACAATCAGGCAAGATAACTACATACATAATTATAAATCTATTTATCATCTATTTTAAAACTGCTCCAAAAAATTGTGGCCTTTTTTGGTATATATGAGCCCATTTAACACTGGAATGTAGGTTTCAGAATGAACGACCAGAATTGGTAAAGGTCTGGAGTCATAGAAGAATATAGAGCGTTTGGGGAACTGTGTAATGAGTAGATGTCATAGGTGATGGAGATGAGACTGAAGAAGTAAGGCCAGGTTATAAAGGGTCTTCCTGTGCTACACTAAGGAATCTGCTTTATCCATTCTTAAAGTGAAGTGGCAAGGTACGGTTGCATTTTGAGCCATCATTTAGACATTTCCATGAAGGGTAAGTGGGTGGGTCTTTACTAGAGATAGAGAGAACATTTAGATAATAGATAATAGAACATTTCAGTATATTACAAGAGATAGAAAATGTATTTATTTGAATGTAGAATGGAAGAAAGATCTACCATTCTCCATTATAGATTGATTATGTGTTGGAGAAAGAAGGGGTCTAGGTTGTTAACTGAGTCAACGTAGTTGTGGAAGCAATTGAAAGGGTGATGGCGACACTGATTAAGATAAAGAAGGAAGGGAGGAGGAAGAACAGATTGTAGAAGAGTATGAAAAATTCATGTTTTGATTTGTTGAAGTGGGGTTATCTTTAATGACCTAGTGAAATGAGCATCAGCAGCCAGTTGGATATATTGCTCAGTGTTCAGGGGAGAGATCTGGACTAGAAATGGGATGTCATTTCTAGTAACAATGTAATGTAAGTGGGTGTCAATGCAATGTAATGTAAATGGTGTCATTTACATATAGGTGGAAGGTGAAGCCATGAAAAGTGAGATGAGGTCAAGAATGAAACCCTGACCAGGTGCAGTGGTTCATGTCTGTAATCCCACCGTTTTGGTAGGTTGAGGCGGGAGGATCCCTTGAGGCCACGAATTCAAGATCAGCCTTGGCAACATAGTGAGACCTTGTCTCTATGGAAAAAAAACAACAACATAAAAAGCCAAGCATGGTGGCCAGTATCTGTAGTCCTAACTACTCAGGAGGCTGAAGTTTATCACTTGAGCCCAGAAATTCGAGGCTACAGTGAACTATGATCCTGCCAGTGCATTCCAAACTGCACGAAAGAGCAAGAGCCTGTCTCAAAAAAAGAAAAAAAATAATGAAACCTTTAGTATTGACAGATTTGTAAGGGACAAGCACAGAAAGGGTAGAAAGGGACCTCCTGAAGGGATCTGAAACTGAATAATGAGAGAAACCCAAAGAAAATGGAAGCATGGAAGCTAGAGGCAGATTAAGAAGTTCATCATGCATTTCTCTAATGATAAGTGATGTTGAGCTTTTTTTCATGTTTGTTGGCTGCATGAATGTCTTCTTTTGAGAAGTGTCTGTTCATGTCCTTTGCCCACTTTTGAATGGGGTTGTTTTTTTCTTGTAAATTTGTTTAAGTGAGATACCATCTCACACCAGTCAGAATGGCAATTATTAGAAAGTCAAGAAAAAATAGATGCTGGCCAGGTTGTGGAGAAATAGGAAGGCTTTTATACTGTTGGTGTGAATGTAAATTAGTTCAACGTTTGTGGAAGATGGCGTGGCAATTCCTCAAAGATATAGAACCAGAAATACCATTTGACCAAGCAATCCCATTAAAGGGTGTATACCCAAAGGAACATAAATCATTCTGTTACAAAGATACATGCATGCATATGTTCATTGTAGCACTATTCACAATATCAAAGACATGGAATCAACCCAAATGCCCATAAATGATAGACTGGATAAAGAAAATGTGGTACATATACACTATGGAGTAGTATGCAGGCATCAAAAGAATGAGATCATGTCTTTTGCAGAGACATGGTTGGATCTGGAAGCCATTATCCTCAGCAAACTAATGCAAGAATAGAAAACCAAACACAGCATGTTCTCCCTTATAAGTAGGGGCTGAACAATGAGAACACATGAACACAAGGAGGGGAACAACACATACTGGGGCCTGTAGGGAGTGGGGAGGGAGAGCATCAGGATAAATAGCTAATGCATACAGGGCTTAACACCTAGGTGATACATTGATAGGTGCAGCAAACCACCATGGCACATGTTTACCTATGTAACAAACCTGTACATCCTACACATGTATGCTGCAACTTAAAAATAAAAATTAAAAAAATTTTTTACAATGAACAATGTCATGTATTGGAAATAGGCCAAGTGAAACAAGGACAAAATGTGAAAATTGGGCTGGGCACATTGGCTCACACCTGTAATCCCAGCACTTTGGGAGGCTAAGGAGGGCGGATCACATGAGGCCAGGAGTTCGAGACCAGCCTGGCCAACATGGTGAAACCTAGTCTCTACTAAAAATAATCCCAGCTACTCCAGGGGCTGAGGCATGAGAATCACTTGAACCTGTGAGGCAGAGGTTGCAGTGAGCTGAGATTGAGAATGCACCACTGCACTCCAGCATGGGAGACAGAGCAAGACCGTGTCTCGATTAAAAAAAAAAAGAAAAAGAAAAAGAAAGAAAATTGGATGTGGAAAATAGTACTTCAATCTGACTATTACATGAGGCATTTCAATGTAATAATCAGGGTTGATATCAGTTGAAGAACTAGAGGAAATGAGTATAGACTATTCTTTCAAAAGTCTTACTTGGAGAAGGAAATAGGTAAAACAGGATATACTATAAAAGATGTCTGTGTTTGTTTGTTAAATAAACAAGGCTGTTTGCATGCAGTGGAAAAATACTAAATAGAAAGGCATCATTTGAAGACATAAAAATAAGGGCTATGATGGAATGGCTTGGTTCCTGAGGAGATGGAAGGCATGAGAACTAGAATACAGGTGGCTATATGTGTGGCATTGGGCAAGAGTGAGGATGAAGGAAGTAAGAAAATAAAAGAGTGAGGAAGAGAGGAAAAGGGCCACAACTGATGTAAATTATAGAATCCCAAGCCAGAATATATAAACAAACATGGGAATGTGTTGACTCTCATAATTGGGTAGGTCAGGAATAGAACTGGTTCCATAGAGCTGGATACAAAGGAGCCTAGTTATCACAATCGTGAAATCTGGTGGTGCTAGCTTAATTTTGTAGACAGGCTTTCTTTGTGTCATTAGTTTGATGGTCACTGTGATGTCCGGATTCTACTTGCATTTTAGCCTCAAGGGAAAAGACTCTTCCACTCCCAGTGTTGGTATATCAACCCAGAGGAGTTCTGTGCATGACCTTCATTGGCCATGTGCCTGTCTCAGATCACAGACAGAGGAGAGGGTGAAAAACCATTATAGAGACCCCAGACAAGACCACAGGAAATGGAGATGAGATGGGAAAACAAGAAAAAACTGACAACAACAGGGAAAAAGAGCTATGAACTTATATGAACAATATGAACAATAAAGAAAAAAATTGGTATAATTTGAGAGAGGGCCTAAGTGTAAGAGAGTAAACACATAACCATCTTTATTTTTATTTTTATTTTTTTGTAGAGTTGTAAAGTAGAAAGAGAAGTTGTTAAAGTGAGAAGGATCAGAGTCAAGTTAGGGACTTGCAGACGATGATGATTTCCAACTGTCATTGAAGAGAACCAGAAAGAAAGCTGGCCTGAATATGTAAAGAGATGGACAATTTTGGGCATATATTATTTAAGACAGTTGAAAAGATACTAGAGTTAGTTCAGACGGTTTGGAGTATATTCTAGTGCTGCTGCATTTTGCTTGTATGTGTTTAGGCAACATCTCTTCTCTGGTCCTCTTTTTTTCCCCCCTTTTTTATTTGTACAAATGAAATGTGCAAAACATGTGATTCTCGGTGCTAGCCACAAACAAGGTATTGCATTATGGAGTCATAGACTGAGAATCAGATGAAGGACATTAAAGTGATCTAGAAGACAAATGTATGACTTGCTTCCTGGAAAAGAAATGACGAATGGGTTTCTATTGAAATTGTCCAACTCTCACTGAATAGAAAACGTAAAATAAACCAAAACTCACTTTTCCTTCCCTAGTTTTAAAATATGTTAAAGATGAGCCTGCTATATTGGTGATGGTTTGCACGTATGCACTCAGATTTGAATAAACCAGTGGAGAATATAAAAAGAGGAATAGATCCAAGATGTTACTCATGGGGTCTGGATAATACTAAGACAGATTTATAGCAGTTACTTTCCTTATCTCATTACATAATTACCCAATCAAGGACATCAACAGGATTTAGTCTCATTAAATTGGTAGTAAATGTAGTAAATTTTTTAATTAATCAATAGGAAATCTCTAGGTAATTCAACTAGGTGATAGCTTTAGCTTTTTAATTATTCCACTCAATTAGTCAATCACTTGTCTAGATCTCTAAGATCTTTGGGTAAATGTCACATGAATTTATTAAGTATAGGTTCTTTGAAACTATCTAGACTGTAGCCAAACTCCACATAGTTTAGTTAACTTTGCTCATCTCAGAAGAAGTAAAGTAAGATCAATTGGGTATGAATAATAAGTGCTTCATAAGCACAATGAGTGTACGTGTATGTGTGTCTACACAAACCCTTAAATTGCATTTATCATGTGTCAGGTATTCTTCTAAATACTTCACATACATTAACTCATTTAATCTTCACAAATATGCCTTTAGATAGATATAATTGTTATTATTAGACTAGTGGTATTCTGATTTTTCAGATAAGGAAATTGAGGCATAGAAAGCTGGCATTCAAATCAAGGCAGTTTGGTTCCAGAATCTGTGCCCCCAATAACACAATAGTTATGCCATAAATATATGCTATTTTAGAGAGATTATTTACACAGGGTTAAAGGTTTTTGTCAGAATTGACAGGATTTGGTAATGTTTTATAACAACTAAACAAATATTTATTGTTCAATGTCTCCTATTTTAAAATAAAAATTATTTTCTGACTAATATAAAATTATCATGGAAAAGATTGAAAGGAAACTAAATATTACACATAAACTGCAATGCAGAACTAATAACGATTATTCATTTTGGTCTACTTCCTTCCATCCTTCTTATGAATATGTTAATTGATTTTACAAAATTTGGATCAAGTATTAAATAAACTTGTATATTTTGTTTCTTTCACTTAACATTTGATTAGAATCATATTTCTTTACATAATCTTCAATATGACTTTGTTCTTCATTTGTTTTGGATGTAATATTTTCATATGAATGTATCATATGCTAAATAAGTCTCCTATTTTGTTTACTTTGAAAATTCAAGTAATTTATTATATCAGATAATATTATGGTCATTGTTAGGCATTTTGAACATTTTTTAAGGTAGCTGCTTAGATGTTGAAATTATTCAATTAAATCATATGGTTTTTAAGGCTTTTTAAAAAACAAACAAATTGCTCTCCAGGAATATTATTATTCCAGTTTGCATTCTTACCAGCAGAGTGTGACAGTATTCAATTCATCACATACTAATTAGCATGAATATTTTCATTTAAAAAAATCTTTGACACTTTGGTAAGTGACAAAATTATATTTCATTGGTGCTTTAATTTTTATTTCTTTGATATTAAAATGACACATTTTATGTTTGTTATTCATTTGTGTTTCTTTTATGAATTGCTGAGGTCTTTTATCATTTATCTTTCTTGTTATTTACACATAGGCAATTTGTTTTTCAAATCCCTCTCCACTCTCCCTACATTGACATTGATCATTCAGTTTTGTTTGTGGTAATATTTGATGATGTTCACTTGGGTGTAATCAAGTCAAGTGGTCCTCCATGTGTTATTTTTCATTTTGATAGCATATATGGAAATGCCTTTCTCATGTTTAGATTACAGTCATCTGTATACCTTTCTAGTGCTTGTATGTCTACATTTTTTATAATTACACTTTGATACACCTACATTTCTCCTTTATATGTGTGAGAGGAGGACGTCAACATTTCTTTCCAGAGTACTTTGGAAATTACTAGTTTACCATGTGATATAATTTTTTAACACATTAATTTTTTTCCAGGTGGATCTGATCTCTTCAGGTTTTGGTACTCTCAAATTCCTACCTTCACTCCCAGCCCCATCTCCACACTTTCAATACACTATCAGAAATTTCCTGGATAGATTTTCCTGCTTCTGTAAATTATAAAACATTTCTTGATTTTTCTCAAAATATGATGTAGAAATTTCAATTTAAAAATTTGCTAAATCCCTTTATATTTTAACATGGTCTCTTAATTTTTTGAACATTTCTCTCGGAGGCTATTTTAGATACAGTGGTGAGGGAAGATCATTCTGAGACGATGACAGTTGGGCAGAGAGAGCTGAGTGAAGTGAGGGAGAAAACCAGAATTATTAACAGACATGAAGGAAAAGCAGTCTAATGAGAGCTAGGTTAAGAAGACCATGAAACCTGATAAGAACACTCTAATTTCCTGAATGCCTAAAACTGTAGGCAGACAATGTCCTTAATTATTAACAACTATTATTACATGGACAGAATCTTAGGCTTCCCAGAATTAGAAGGGTAACTTAGGACAAAAAACGTCTACTTTGATACCCTTTCTCATTGGTAGGAATAAAATCGCTTAGAATTTAAATGTGTTATAGATCTCGTAATCAGTGGTAGAATTTAGAGAAGATACAAATCACTTCACTTCCTGTTTTATATCCAGTCTTTTAAGCCTCCCAACCTCCAGTAGTTGATTCTGTGGTACTCATGTTTTGGGAACTATAGATTACCTATTACACAGATATTCTTGGTAAAAAGCTCCTCAATAATTGAACACATCTTTTTGATGTTGTTTATGTTTTTTCTTTTTGAAAAACAGATTCTAAACTTCCAAAATGTAATTTAAAAAATACTAAGAGATTCTAGTTTTCATATCAGGATATAGTGGTTAACACACTTATAATAGTTACATTTTGTGACAGTCTTTTTCATTAAACATGTAAATTAGCCTTTCTGACTTTTTATAACTCAATAGGAGGGGGTAGAATTTCATGAAGGTCAAAGCAGTATGATGTTATTGTTATAGATTGTGTAGAAAATTAGCATTAATTGGAAAATCCACAAATTAATATAATTAATGTTATTCTACTAGTCCCACAATTTTAAATGAAAGGATAACAGTTTATCATTCAAACATACCAGATGTTATATTTAATAAATACATTTAATTTTTAAATGAGAAAATATAGAATCTACAAACAGTTAAAGACAAAGTTAATGATATTGAACATTTTAAAATGTGAGCAACTTTATTTAAAATTTATTTTTTTAAGTCTTAAGAAGTTGTTCCACTTGGAGAAAAAAGATTTGCTGATACATGTATGGCAAAAGCCCCTGACTTATAGAGTGGAAGGGCCCTTGCAGATCATCTAGTTCACTAGGAAGATACAGAAACTGTGGATAAGAGAAGCCATTTGGCCCACACCCCTAAGAAACAAAAGCATCACATGTCACTCCTCTACTACTATCACTGTTCCTTTGAACCACATAAATGAACAGATCAAAGGGTATGTCCATCTTTAATTTCATTAAACTTTGCCTGAAATGTAACAGTTTATAATACAGTCAGCAGTACATGAGAGTTATCATTTCTCCCAATTATTTCTGGCTTTAAATTTTTACTAATCTTGATGCTAGTAGATTCAAACATCTTGTCGTAGATGTTTAACTACAGATGTTTCCACAGATAACCCAGATTATAAAAGGCTATAGGAAATTAAATAATATAGTATCACCATAAGAATAAACAGTAGATCAATTAAGCAGGAAAAAACCTTAAACCTATGTGTATTTAAAAGATATACAAAGCAGTGGGGAAAGAGTTGCTCACTGAGCAAATGATGCTGGGATATTTTACCACCTATATTGAAAAATACATGCTTAATGGATGACAAAATCACATCCAAATGGATTTAAGATCTGTATGTGAAATTCAAACTTTGAAACATTTTAGGAAAAAATATCTTTTTGATCATGGGGAGAGGGATGGATTTGTTATAAATTCTCTTAAAAATTTTCTATTTGTTAAACAAAATTTAAAAGATGGAATGTGTAAGAGAAATAATAAATAAGATTCATTAAAATGCTAGAAACACATTTTTAAAGGGCCCGCAAGCAAAGCTGGCAAAAAAATTCACAGACTGAGTGTAGATGCAATGCATATTTCTCTTAGAATCTTAATAAGCAAAATATTCATATTAAAAGTCTCCTTCAAGTCAATAAGAAATAAACTCTAAAAGGAGAATGAAGATGGAACAAAAGACATAGGCCAATATATCTATGAAAAGATATTTAACTCTACAAGCATCAAGACTGGTAAAAATTTAAAGCGTATTGCTGATCGTATTATAAATTCTTACATTTCAGGCAAAGTTTAATGAAACTGAAGATGGACATACCCTTTGATCTGTTCATTTATATGACTCAAAGGAACAGTGATAGTGATAGAGGAGTGACATGTGATGCTTTTGTTTCTTAGGGGTGTGGACCAAATGGCTTGTCTTACCCTCAGTTTCTGTGTTTTTCTACTGAACTAGATGTTCTGCAAGGGCCCCTTCCACTCTATAAGTCAGTGACTGTTAGTCTATTTTCACTTTGCTGATAAAGACTTACTCAAGACTGAGCAATTTTTGAAAGAAAGAGGTTTATTGGACTTACAGTTCCACATGCTTGGGGAGGCCTCACAATCATTGTGGGAAGTAAGGAGGAGCAAGTCATACCTTACTTGGATGGCAGCAGGCAAAAAAAAAAAAAAAAAAAAAAAGCTTGTGCAAAAACTACCATTTTTAACTCTATCAGATCTTGTGAGACCCAGAACAGCCTGGGAAAGACCCGCCCCCATGATTCAGTCATCTCCCACTGAGTCCCTCCCACAACATGTGGGAATTATGGGAGCTACAAATGAGATTTGAATGGGGACACAGAGCCAAACCATATTAGTGACTTTAGCCATATACACATAACACAGATTATAAAAAACTATAGGAAATAGCATAATAATTTAATTAATAATCCTCTTTTCCCTCCTTCAAAAATTGTTGTGCTTATGTTTACTTTCTCTTCCGTTTGAATTTCAGGATTAATTTTTCAAGTCCCATAAAAAATTATGCTAGAATTTTGTTGGGAGTCGTATTGAATTTACATTAATGTAAGAAAAATTGCCATGTTTAAAATATTGATTCTTTCCATTTATGAACATGGTTTCTCTCTTAATATTTTCAGTTCATCTTTCATGTCCTTCAGTCCAGCTACATAATTTTCTGCAAAGAATTCTTGTATGGTTTTGAAGGACTTACTTTGAGGCATCTTTTAAAATAGTTATTAGAAATGACATTGTTTTACAATGCATATTTCCTAATAAAATGCAACTGATTTTTATATATTTACATAGAATCCCGTAATACTTTTTTGCAGATACTTTTTCCTACATAGGTAATCAAATAATCTGAAAATAACAATATTTAGTTTTTTCTTTTCATATCTTTCCTTATATATTTTTCTGACATTAATTTGGCTAAATAGTCCAGGAAATGTCACATTTCTTTCTTTAGGTCTTATCTTTTTGTTTTGTTTTTTGTTTGTTTTTTAACCTCTCAGAAATCTGGCAAGGCCTCCCAGTGTAATGTTGAGTAGTGCTAGTGATTGCCTCTTTTTCTAGTTTCTAACTTTATTTTTATTTTTATTTTTGAGATGGAGTCTCACTCTGCTGCCCAGGCTGCAGTACAGTGGCGTGATCTTGGCTCACTGCAACCTCTGCCTCCCGGGTTCAAGCGACTCTCCTGCCTCAGCCTCCTGAGTAGCTGGGATTACAGGCATGCGCCACCACTCCTGGCTTTTTTATTTTATTTTTTTAGCTTTTAGTTTTTAGTAGAGACGAGGTTTCACCATGTTGGCTAGGCTGGTCTCGAACTCCTGGCCTCAAGGGATCCGCCTGCCTCGGCCTCCCAAAATGCTGGGATTACAGGATTGAGCCACTGCACCCAGCCTAGTTATGCTTCTAATGTTCACCGATATTTTGAGGTGAAATTATAGGCTTCACTAGACTGTCAGAGGAGTTCATGGCACAAAAAACGCTCAGAACCTTACATGGAAATTATCAGTCTAGGGATTTGGAGCAAACGCTGTGGAGAAAAGACTTCATAAAGCTTGCTGGTTGTCCTTCTATTTTTTATCATTCCACAAAGCATAGGGCTTTGTACCACCCTGATTTACTTCTGTGGATATCAGAACTAGAGCTCTGAGTCACTGCACCTCTTAGGACAGGCATTATTTAGCTCAAGGAAATGGAAGGAAAGAAGCAAGAACATAATTCGATTTGTTCTTTACTATTTTATCCTTCCACACTCCTGACTATCTCCTGCTCAAGGTGCAAACCTGAACAAAACAGTTCAACTTTTGCCTGTTATCATCTTTATTGTAACTAATATGTATGTTTCACTAATTTCTGTTCAAATAGAAGCTTCTTTCTAATAAATTAATATTATATTTAAAAATCTGAACATCTTAAGTTTCAAGTTTAGTTCATTCTTTTTAACCTTTTCTTATTTTCTGATATATGCATTTAAGCTTATGACTACTCCTCTAAGTAAAACAGTTCAACTTTTGCCTGTTATCATCTTTATTGTAACTAATATGTATGTTTCATTAATTTCTGTTCAAATAGAAGAAGCTTCTTTCTAATAAATTAATATTATATTTAAAAATCTTAGCATCTTAAGTTTCAAGTTTAGTTCATTCTTTTTAAACTTTTCTTATTTTCTGATATATGCATTTAAGCTTATGACTACTCCTCTAAGTACTGCTGTAGATATATCCCACAAAACATATATGGTGTTCTCACCACGTCAAACATGTATATTTATTATTTCTTCTTTAAGCCATCTATTTTTAAAGGGGTATTTATAAATTTTCTAAGCCTTGGTTTGGGAATTAGGAGTTTTTTTTTATTATTTCTACTTTTGTTGCAGTGTGGTTTGTATGCTGTTAAATCCTTAGTATTTATTAAGACTTTCTTGGTGATCAATTCTTGTAGATGTTCCATGTGTTTGAAATAATATTGATTCACTGACTGTTCTGGCTAGGGTTTCGTAATTATCTATTAAGTAATATTATCTTTTTTTCTAAATCTTCCATGTCTTAGTATTGCTTTCATTTGTTTAATACATTAGATATTAACCTATCTATGTTAAAATTGTCAAATTCCATATTGGCTTTTGTCAAATTCTCTTTATAATTCAAGTTATTTATGTATTTTGCAACAATATTGTTAAGGAAATACAGGTGAAGTATTATTGTTTTCCTAGTGAATTGTTCTGTGTATTACACATTTTATCTCTAATATTTCTTTTTGCCATAAAGTGTATTTTATGTGAAATCAATGCAACTATGCCAGTTGGCCTTTCTGAGTATTTGCCTAATTTCTCTTTCTTCATTCCTTTCTTGAAATACCTTCTCCGTTGTTATGTTTTAATAGTTTTTTAAACAGTAAGCAGCTGTTATTTTCAATGCATTTTAAGTTTCTGTCTCTGAACTAAGTTTATTTAATATCTATTTATTTTGGTTACTGATCCATTTGAATTTATTCTTTTTCATCTTATGTGCTTTATAATTACTAGTTTTTGTTGTATTTTATCGCTTTTTTATTTTTGCTTTTTCATTCTTCTTTTCTACCTTCTGTTTGATATTTTCTTCATTCTACTTTTTATGTTGTACATTTTATTTCTACTTTTTAGTGTTAACATTAGATTTTTTAACACTCTTACTTGCCAAAATAATGCTTAACATTAAACCATAATTATATCTTCTTTTCTAAAGTATAAGAATCTTAGAATATTATTTTACTTTGATCACTACCCACCTCATCATTTTATATATTCATACTACTTTGATTTGTTTTAGTTCCAATTTGTGTTTAAATCAACCTAAACTAAAACATACTCTTTGTTCATATTCTTGGCCATTATTTTTTTCTCTATGTGGACATATTTTTCTATGTATTTGCCAGCCATTATTTTTTATTTTCCCCCACTTTCCTCCTGGATTGAATTCTCTTTTCTTGATGTGCGTTCTTTGTCATTTCTTTCAATGGCATTCTGTAAGTGGTACACTTTTGCCTATGTCTATCTGAAAATATCTTTATTTCAGTCTTAGTTTTAAATTATGGTTTAGTTGAGTATAAACTTTTAGGGTAACCACTAGTTTTCCTGGGACAGCTTGAATATATATTCCATTGTAGTCTGGTCTCTATCATTGCTGTTGAGAAATCTGGTATTGTGTTCTTGGTATTCAAAAGTAATCTTTTTATCCCTGGTGTCTTTTTTCCTTTTTCTTGATGTGCTGCACTATTATTTTGGTAGGTCTAAGGTTTGATCTTATTTATTCTACTTAGGATTTGTTCTGAATCTGATCATTAATATATTGTATCTATCATGAAAAAGTCTCAGTCATTGCTTCTTTCAAAATTTTTTCCTTCACAGTTTCTCCATTTTTCTCCTCTGAAACTTTTATTAGGTGATCCTTCAGCTTTCTTTTTTTTTTTAATTTCTATCTCTTTATTTCTCTACATTATATTCTGGGTAAATCCTTTTAGTTAAACTTTCATTTCACTAATATCTCCTCAACTACACCTAATCTGATCTTTAGATTTTCTTCTCAACCCCCTGTTCACTCCTTTCTCAGCCTTTTTCTTTTTCTGCTTACTTTTTTTTTCTTTTTTTATTATTATTATACTTTAAGTTCCAGGGTACATGTGCACAATGTGCAGGTTTGTTACATATGTATACATGTGCCATGTTGGTGTGTTGCACCAATTAACTCATCATTTACATTAGGTATATCTCCTAATGCTATCCCTCCCCCTTACCCCCACCCCACAACAGGCCCCAGTGTGTGATGTCCCCCTTCCTGTGTCCAAGTGTTCTCATTGTTCAATTCCCAACTATGAGTGAGAACATGTGGTGTTTGGGTTTTTGTCCTTGTGATAGTTTGCTGAGAATGATGGTTTCCAGCTTCATCTATGTCCCTACAAAGGCCATGAACTCATCATTTTTTATGGTTGCATAGTATTCCATGGTGTATATGTGCCACATTTTCTTAATCCAGTCTATCATTGTTGAACATTTGGGTTGGTTCCAAGTCTTTGCTATTGTGAATAGTGTTGCAATAAACATACGTGTGCATGTGTCTTTATAGCAGCATGATTTATAATCCTTTGGGTATATACCCAGTAATGGGATGGCTGGGTCAAATGGTATTTCTAGTTCTAGATCCCTGAGGAATCGCCACACTGACTTCCACAATGCTTGAACCAGTTTACAGTCCCACCAACAGTGTAAAAGTGTTCCTATGTCTCCACATCCTCTCCAGCACCTGTTGTTTCCTGACTTTTTAATGATTGCCATTCTAACTGGTGTGAGATGGTATCTCATTGTGGTTTTGTTTTCCATTTCTCTGATGGCCAGTGATGATGAGCATTTTTTCATGTGTCTTTTGGCTGCATAAATGTCTTCTTTTGAGAAGTGTCTGTTCATATCCTTTGTCCACTTTTTGATGGGGTTGTTTGTTTTTTTCTTGTAAATTTGTTTGTGTTGTTTGTAGATTGTGGATATTAGCCCGTTGTCAGATGAGTAGGTTGCAAACATTTTCTCCCATTCTGTAGGTTGCCTGTTCACTCTGATGGTAGTTTCTTTTGCTGTGCAGAAGCTCTTTAGTTTAATTTGATCCCACTTGTCAATTTTGTCTTTTGTTGCCATTGCTTTTGGTGTTTTAGACATGAAGTCCTTGCCCATGCCTATGTCCTAAATGGTATTTTTTTATTGCCTAGGTTTTCTTCTAGGGTTTTTATGGTTTTAGGTCTAACATTTAAGCCTTTAATCCATCTTGAATTTATTTTTGTGTAAGGTGTAAGGAAGGGATCCAGTTTCAGCTTTCTACATATGGCTAGCCAGTTTTCCCAGCACCATTTATTAAATAGGGAATCCTTTCCCCATTGCTTGTTTTTCTCAGGTTTGTCAAAGATCAGATAGTTGTAGATGTGTGGTATTATTTCTGAGAGCTCTGTTCTGTTCCATTGGTCTATATCTCTGTTTTGGTACCAGTACCATGCTGTTTTGGTTACTGTAGCCTTGTAGTATAGTTTGAAGTCAGGTAGCATGATGCCTCCAGCTTTGTTCTTTTGGCTTAAGATTGACTTGGCAATGTGGGCTCTTTTGTGGTTCCATATGAACTTTAAAGTAGCTTTTTCCAGTTCTGTGAAGAAAGTCATTAGTAGCTTGATGGAGATGGCATTGAATCTATAAATTACCTTGGGCAGTATGGCGATTTTCACGATATTGATTCTTCCTATCCATGAGCATGGGATGTTCTTCCATTTGTTTGTATCCTCTTTTATTTCATTGAGCAGTGGTTTGTAGTTCTCCTTGAAGAGGTCCTTCACATCCCTTGTAAGTTGGATTCCTAGGTATTTTATTCTCTTTGAAGCAATTGTGAATGGGAGTTCATTCATGATTTGGCTCTCTGTTTGTCTGTTATTGGTGTATAAGAATGCTTGTGATTTTTGCACATTGATTTTGTATCCTGAGACTTTGCTGAAGTTGCTTATCAGCTTAAGGAGATTTTGGGCTGTGACGATGGGGTTTTCTAGATATACAATCATGTCATCTGCAAACAGGGACAATTTGACTTCCTCTTTTCCTAACTGAATACCCTTTATTTCTTTCTCCTGCCTGATTGCCGTGGCCAGAACTTCCAACACTATGTTGAATAGGAGTGGTGAGAGAGGGCATCCCTGTCTTGTGCCAGTTTTCAAAGGGAATACTTCCAGTTTTTGTCCATTCAGTATGATATTGGCTGTGGGTTTGTCATAGATAGCTCTTATTATTTTGAGATACGTCCCATCAATACCTAACTTATTGACAGTTTTTAGCATGAAGAGCTGTTGAATTTTGTCAAAGGCCTTTTCTGCATCTATTGAGATAATCATGTGGTTTTTGTCATTGGTTCTGTTTATACGCTGGATTATGTTTATTGATTTTCATATGTTGAACCAGCCTTGCATCTGAGGGATGAAGCCCACTTGATCATGGTGGATAAGCTTTTTGATGTGCTGCTGGATTCGGTTTGCCAGTATGTTACTGAGGATTTTTGCATCAATGGTCATCAAGGATATTGGTCTGAAATTCACTTTTTTTGTTGTGTATCTGCCAGGCTTTGGTGTTAAGATGATGCTGGCCTCATATAAGCTTACTTCTTAATTAATATTTTTCTGGGTTTCATGTCTGCTAATACTGTCTGAAGCAGTCATGTTTGTGCTAGGCTTCAATTATCCGCCATACATTTATGACTTCCATATCTATATCTCTAGGATGGTTCTTATTTTCCTTGATACGTCAAAATCTCCTAAACTGAGCATTATTTCCTTTACTAAATCTGCTCCTAATTTAGCTCCCTATAGAATCACATGCTGAAGCCAGTTTTAGGAGTCATCCTAAGTTGCCATTAACCCCTGAACTATGCCATTAATATCCTATGCTATAACACCACTCACCAAATTCCATTTATTCTACTACTTAATGTGACCCACCTGTGATCCTTAGCACCCTTATTATTCTCACTTGAGTGCTGTAATTCCTCCTCACTGACAAGGAAGCAAGATAGTGGGTAAAGGATGGGATATGAGAGCAAGATAGACAGAATTTGAATTTACACCTCTGGGTTTACTCTATGTATAATTTCTCCAAGCCTCAGTTCTTTACATAAAATGGTGAAATAATAATACTTACATCATAAAGTTGATGTAAAGAATTTAAGGAAAAATGCACGAAAAGTGTTTAGTGCAGTATCTGACTTCTAGTAGGTGTCAATGAGTGTTAACGTGTGTTATTACTAGGAATATGTCTCCCTGCATCTGCATTCGATAATACCTCTGTATAAAGTAGACCTGTCACATAGAATCATTTAATGAGCCTAAGCATTTCATGTTTACCTTCTTAGATATATTGCTTAATTCATTTATGGTTAGGGTTCTAGGCATATTAATTGGTACATGCACAATACTGCAGATATATATTTCTTATGGGTCAATCAAGCTGTATTTGATTGAAGAAAAAAATGAATGTTATAAATGATAATATTTGTTACAGTAGAATTTCCTATATATTTGGATATTTTCTAGGCAAGGTTGAAATTAGTGTGCATATATGTGGCTCATGCTTCTATTTAATTAAATTATTACAAGATTAGAATACAATAATTACTTAGTCATAATTACATAGCAAGAAATATAATTGGCAAGGGAGATATTTTTAAAGATATTAAATCAGAATCCATTGCAAAAACAATAGTTTACTGTATCAGTACAAAAGTAGAATAGGTTGGAAGAAAACCAAAGAAGGAAAGAGGAATCTGTAATCTTTGATTACATTATTTGCACTGAATTATTAAAGCAGATGATAGTGTGAATAAATCATGCTAGAGAAACCCTATGCTTTAGGCTGAAAATTTGGAATTCCAATGTTCTAACTTGGGAAATATTAGTATCTCCTTAGGAATCCTGGGTAGAAGGAATTTTCTGGATATTCGAGTCTATCCTCTAGCTCCAGGTCATTGTCAGTGGCCCCTGAAACATATTATTATTATATGTTAATGAATATTTCTCCAGTAGTAAAAAGTGAGAGCTGCACTTATTGAATTCACATTATACATCATACTTTGGATTAAAGTTTTACCTATGGTAAATTTCATTTATTCTTCAATATATGCCTATTGGGTATTATCAACTTCATTTTACAAACGAAGAAATTGAAGTTCAGCAACATTAAATATCATGCCCCAAGTCACACAGCTATTGAGCCGCTTTTCTGAGAATTCTATCCAGGCGTGTTTATGAGATATGAACCACAGTCCCTGCCTTCTGGATGTGTGCCATATTTTGCCTACTAGTGAAGGGACTCATTTTTACATGCTCCTTGGTCCAAAGAGTAGAAAATGGCCTAATTTCAGCAAGCAATAATGAACTGCAGTTTGTGTTAATCATTTGAAGCTGCTGATAAAATTGGGGATTAGCAACTCAACTTTAGTAAGCACTCTTGTCTATTGTAAATATATTTGGAGTGGGTGATGTATGTTAGTTAATATATGTATTTAATAATACTATAATAGCTAACATTTTATAGTGTTTACCATGTGCTGGGTAAAATTCCAAGTCCTGTACATTCATAAACTCTTTCAGTGTTAACAGCAAACACATGGAAATAGTACTGTCATAACTTATATATTACAGATGAGAAAATTGAGGCACAGAAGGCCAAATACTTTGTCCACATTCACACAACCAGTAAATGGAAAACTGGATTAAAATGTAGGCAGTGTAGCACAAGAATTTAGATAGTCAACAACTATTCTATGAAACAAATACACATAGAAAAAGATTTGACATGTGTAAATGATTTAATTGAATATATATATATAGAGAGAGAGTATTTCTTCAGAATTTTTACCCTTATTTTTGATTTTTTTGAAAGTTTCTAAAAATTTATTAAAATTGAAATAAAACTATATTAAACTTCCACATGGCTATCCTCAGATTCAGCGATTACTGCATTTTGCCTTACCAAAAATGGTTGATAGTTCTCTAAAGTGTTGTATAATCCAGACTTCTCTGGTTACTTGTGGTTTCTTTTATCTTTTTCATCTGTGCCCTGTTTTTCCCATTCCTTCACAACTTTGTCAATATTTAGTGTTATAGGTGAGTGTGTGTGTGTGTGTGTGTGTGTGTGCGCGTGCATGTGCGGGGAGTGGTGGTGGTGGTGTTTGGTTCTGTTGTTGGTATTGTTCTGTTTAGTTTTAGCCATTCTGGTCAGTGTATAATGGTATCTTATTGTGGTTTTAATTTGAATTTGTCTCCTGATTGATGACATTGAGTAGTTTTTCATCTGCTTTTGGGCATTTGTGTATCTTCTTTAGTGAAATGTTTTTTTTTCTTTTTTTCAGTTGTTCTGCCCATTTGTTTTAGTGGTTATCTTTTTATTATTGAGTTGTAGTTATCCTTAATATATCATAGATACTAACCCTTGGACAGATATATATTTTTATAAATAGCATCTCAAGTTATTGCTTTCCTATTCATTTTCTTAATGGTGTTTTTCAAAGATTAGAATTTTTTGATTTGATGAAGTCTAATATATCATTTGTTTTTCTCTCTTTGCTTACATTCTGTGACATGCCTAAGAAACTTTGACTAACATCAAGTTATGCATACATTTTATGTTTCTCCAATAGCTTTTTATTTCAGATTTTGTGTTTAGATATATAGTTTGAATTATTTTTATGCATGATTTGAGGTAGTGGCTGAGAGTTCACTAATTTCCATACGAATGTTGTTACTCTAGCACCATTTTTTAAGAAGACTTACCTTTTCTTATTTGATCATTTTTTTATATTTGTCAAATATCTAATGAATAAATAATTGGGGATTTATTTCTGATGTTGATATTCTTTCACTGATCTATTTGGCCAGTATCATACAGTCTTGATTATTGAGAATTGTACTAACTCTTGAAGGCAAGTAGTGTAAATCCTCTAACTTTGTTCTTTTACTAAATTGCTTTCAACATTCTAGATGCTTTGCATTTCCATGTAAGTTTTATAAACAGCTTATCAATTTTCATAAAATAGTCACTAGAGTTATTAAGTTTTGTTGAATCTTTTGTAATTTGAGGATCATTACTATATTAACAGTGTTAAGTCTTTCAGTTCAGGAGTATAACTATCTATATCTTCTTTACTTTCTCTCAGCAATGCTTTTATCATTTTCAGTTTATAGGTCTTACATACCTTTGACTAAATTTGTTCCTAAATATTTTATGGTGATGCTATTGCAAACATAATTGATTTTTAAATTTCATAGTTCAGTGGGTTTCTCCTGGTATATAAAATATATACAATTTTTATACATTAATATTGTGATATTTGAGCTGTCTAAAATTACTCGTTTATTCTATCAATTTTGTACATTCCTTTGGATATTCTATGTAAATTTTCATATCATTAGGAAATATAGGTGGTTTTACTTCTACCCTTCTAATGTTTATACATTTTATTTCTTTCTCTTATTGCAATGAGTATGGCCTCTAGTAAAACAGTGGGTGAGTTGTGAGACTATACATCATTACCTTTGTCTTAATTTTAGGAGGAGAATTACATTCAATATTTGACCATTAAGTTAGATATTAGCTGTAGCATTTTCTAGCACCTTTATCAGGTTGAAGAAATTTTCTTCTTTTCCCGGTTTTCTAAGAGTCTTTTTTGAAAAAAAAAAAAAAAAACTCTATTGAGGTATAAATTACAAACAGCAAAATACACCATCTTAAGTGTATTATCATAATCAAGATACAGTATATTAAACATCTCCACAAATTTCTCTTGTACCCCATACCAGTAAATCTTCACCCTATCCCAGTCTCTGCTTCTGTCTCTGTACATGAAGTTTGTGTTTCCTAGAAGACATATATCTTCTTATGATTTGAATCATAGAGTTTGTATACTTTTGTAACTGGCTTTTTTATTCAGTATAAGGTTTTTTGAGAAATACTGGTGTGGTTCCGTGTCTCTGTAATTGACAATTTTCAATTCTTTTTTTTTATATTGCTAATTTCTCTATCTATGCTTGTTCTCATCTCCTGTCAGCTTTTGCAGATTTTGTGCTACCAATTATACTTGGATTTTCCTGTCTCCCTGCCTTCTTTTATGTTTCTCCTTAACAAGATTCCATCTCCTTCATTACCCAACTTTGAGACTAGAGACCATGTCTTCATACACTTTATATTCATTTAGTCAGTCCTTTATTGAGTGTCTGTGTTGTGGCTGCCATCATGGGCTCTTAAGTGATGCCAATACTGCTGGTTCAAGAATCGCATTTGAATAGATAGCTTCTAGAATATTCTAGGATACTGGGGACAGGTGAAGGTTAGATTACTAAATATTTCCTCATCTAATACAAATAATATATGTAATTTCATGTAAACATACAAAATATTAAAATTTATATTTATCAAGAAGGCAGATTATACTGCAGGTGATCAGAACTAAATTTTTATGTACATATATATGGTTATTCAATTCATAAATGTTTTTATAAAACATGGGAATATCTGAGATACACTGAATTTACAAACCTTGGAGAGACCACCTATATGGATTCTTCAATCAGGAGCACGTTCATATTTAGCCTATCTGTTAGCTTATCACAATTGACAGAGATGCTTTGGTTGTGAGTTTGGAATATGAACATAAATGTGGTTGATGGAGAGACAAAATAAAGGATTTTTCTTAATGAGAATATAGAAAAATAGATGGATTTACCTAATTAATATTACTCACGTGTTTAAACAGAATACACACAATTAGAATAAGATTTAAAGAAATAAGACTTCGTATTGTAAATAGAGATCTTATTATTAATATTTACTAAATTCCTTTTTAATCGAACTCTAGGATTTTGAATCTTAGCGCTTCTTATAGTCTTCCAGAAGACTTTTTACTTTTCTCATTCTATTGTTTAATCCTTTTATTACAGAGTACCAATTACTTTTAAAATGGCAGAAAAAGAAAGTTTTGCAGTGGTGTGAGGGCACCTTTCTTGATGAATCATCATGATAACATTTTAAGTAGACAAAGGCTATTTGTTTTCTGACTTACTTTGCCATTGTTTTCTCAGATATCCTTATTTAGGCCAGGTGCGGTGGCTCACGCCTGCAATCCCAGCACTTTGGGAGGCCAAGGCGGGCAGATCACCTGAGGTCAGGAGTTCGAGACCAGCCTGGCCAATATGGCAAAACTCCATCTCTACTAAAAATACAAAAATTAGCTAGGCATGGCGGTATGCTCCTGTAATCCCAGCTACTTGAGAGGGAGGCTGAGGCAAGAGAATCGCTTGAATTCGGGAGGTGGAGATTGCAGTGAGCCAAGAGCATGCCACTGCACTCCAGCCTGGGCGACAAGTGTGAAACTCCATCTCAAAATAAATAAATAAATAAATAAATAAATAAATTCTTATTTATATCTTCTCTTAAATAGCTATCCAGTAAACTAGCATTATCAGCTCACAAGATAATTTAGACATTTCTTTCTATGAAGTTTGAGATTAAAATTACATACATATACACATGTATCTATTTCATAGCATAATTTTAAGAGCACACTTTAAAAAAATAACAAAATAATTAAACAACCAAAAGGTAGTGTGTAAGCTACAAAAAATGTCTTCAAATCAATTCCTGCATTTGGAAAAATCCCAAATGTTAACTAGTCAAAACTTCTGATGATTCACAAATTGATATTCTATTAAAATTCAGTCATAAGAATGAACATTTGCATTAGAAAAAAAATCAATATTCAAGGCCCAGGTAGCCTAGGCTATTTTTAATGTTTGCCTTAATATAATTATCTTTATTGACTATGACAGTTATTTTATGGTATCTAGAAAAATAGTCTGCATAAACAATAATGCAATAAATATCTTTATATATATGAATGTATCTGATAATTTTCATAATAAAAATTCCTTTGTTGTTCAGAAGATAGGCACTTTTTATAAGGTTTTAGTTATCACTAACAACATGCTTCCTCTCAAATTTGTATTTGGATGGTAAATGTCAGTTTCTCTAAACCCTGAGTAGGTTCATTTTTTTTTAGTATTATACTTTAAGTTTTAGGGTACATGTGCACAACGTGCAGGTTTGTTACATATGTATACATGTGCCATGTTGGTGTGCTGCACCCATTAACTCTTCATTTAACATTAGGTATATCTCCTAATGCTATCCCTCCCCACTCCCCCCACCCCACAACAGTCCCCGGTGTGTGATGTTCCCCTTCCTGTGTCCATGTGTTCTCATTGTTCAATTCCCACCTATGAGTGACAACATGCGGTGTTGGGTTTTTTGTCCTTGTGATAGTTTGCTGAGAATGATGGTTTCCAGCTTCATCCATGTCCCTACAAAGGACATGAACTCATCATTTTTATGGCTGCATAGTATTCCATGGTGTATATGTGCCACATTTTCTTAATCCAGTCTATCATTGTTGGACATTTGGGTTGGTTCCAAGTCTTTACTATTGTGAATAGTGCCGCAATAAACATACGTGTGCATGTGGCTTTATAGTAGCATGTTTTATAATCCTCTGGGTATATACCCAGTAATGGGATGACTGGGTCAAATGGTATTTCTAGTTCTAGATCCCTGAGGAATCACCACACTGACTTCCACAATGCTTGAACTAGCTTACAGTCCCACCAATAGTGTAAAAGTGTTCCTATTTCTTCACATCCTCTCCAGCACCTATTGTTTCCTGACTTTTTAATGATCGCCATTCTAACTGGTGTGAGATGGTATCTCATTGTGGTTTTGATTTTCATTTCTCTGATGGCCAGTGATGATGAGCATTTTTTCATGTGTCTGTTGGCTGCATAAATATCTTCTTTTGAGAAGTGTCTGTTCATATCCTTCGCCCACTTTTTGATGGGGTTGTTTGTTTTTTTCTTGTAAATTTGTTTGAGTTCATTGTAGATTCTGGATATTAGCCCTTTGTCAGATGAGTAGATTGCAAACATTTTCTCCCATTCTGTAGGTTGCCTGTTCACTCTGATGGTAGTTTCTTTTGCTGTGCAGAAGCTCTTTAGTTGAATTAGATCCCATTTGTCAATTTTGTCTTTTGTTGCCATTGCTTTTGGTGTTTTAGACATGAAGTCCTTGCCCATGCCTATGTCCTGAATGGTATTGCCTAGGTTTTCTTCTAGGGTTTTTATGGTTTTAGGTCTAACATTTAAGCCTTTAATCCATCTTGAATTTATTTTTGTATAAGGTATAAGGAAGGGATCCAGTTTCAGCTTTCTACATATGGCTAGCCAGTTTTCCCAGCACCATTTATTAAATAGGGAATCCTTTCCCCATTGCTTGTTTTTCTCAGGTTTGTCAAAGATCAGATAGTTGTAGATGTGTGGTATTATTTCTGAGAGCTCTGTTCTGTTCCATTGGTCTATATCTCTGTTTTGGTACCAGTACCATGCTGTTTTGGTTACTGTAGCCTTGTAGTATAGTTTGAAGTCAGGTAGCGTGATGCCTCCAGCTTTGTTCTTTTGCGTTAGGATTGACTTGGCAATGCAGGCTCTTTTTTGGTTCCATATGAAGTTTAAAGTAGTTTTTTCCAATTCTGTGAAGAAAGTCATTGGTAGCTTGATGGAGATGGCATTGAATCTATAAATTACCTCGGGCAGTGTGGCCATTTTCACGATATTGTTTCTTCCTACCCATGAGCATGGGATGTTCTTCCATTTGTTTGTATCCTCTTTTATTTCATTGAGCAGTGGTTTGTAGTTCTCCTTGAAGAGATCCTTCACATCCCTTGTAAGTTGGATTCCTAGGTATTTTATTCTCTTTGAAGCAATTGTGAATGGGAGTTCACTCATGATTTGGCTCTCTGTTTGTCTGTTATTGGTGTATAAGAATACTTGTGATTTTTGGGCATTGATTTTGTATCCTGAGACTTTGCTGAAATTGCCTATCAGCTTAAGATTTTGGGCTGAGAAATGGGGTTTTCTAGATATACAATCATGTCATCTGCAAACAGGGACAATTTGACTTCCTCTTTTCCTAATTGAATACCCTTTATTTCCTTCTCCTGCCTGATTGCCCTGGCTAGAACTTCCAACACCATGTTGAATAGGAGTGGTAAGAGAGGGCATCCCTGTCTTGTGCCAGTTTTCAAAGGGAATGCTTCCAGTTTTTGTCCATTCATTATGATACTGGCTGTGGGTTTGTCATAGATAGCTCTTATTATTTTGAGATACATCCCATGAATACCTAATTTATTGAGAGTTTGTAGCATGAAAGGTTGTTGAATTTTGTCAAAGGCCTTTTCTGCATCTATTGAGGTAATCATGTGGTTTTTGTCTTTGGTTCTGTTTATATGCTGGATTACGTTTATTGATTTGCATATGTTGAACCAGCCTTGCCTCCAAGGGATGAAGCCCACTTGATCATGGTGGATAAGCTTTTTGATGTGTTGCTGGATTCGGTTTGCCAGTCTTTTATTGAGGATTTTTGCATCTATGTTCATCAGGGATATTGCTCTAAAATTCTCTTTTTTTTGTGTGTCTGTGCCAGGCTTTGGTATCAGGATAATGCTGGCCTCATAAAATGAGTTAGGGAAGATTCCCTCTTTTTCTATTGATTGGAATAGTTTCAGAAGGAATGGTACCAGCTCCTCTTTGTACCTGTGGTAGAATTTGGCTGTGAATTCATCTGGTCCTGGACATTTTTTGGTTGGTAAGCTTTTAATTATTGCATCAATTTCAGTGCCTGTTATTGGTCTATTAAATACCTTATTTTCACAGAGATACCTTCTCCAACTCCTCAGCATGGGTTTAGTCCCCTTGCTACAAGCTCCCAAGATATCCTGGGCTTATGCTTCACAACACTGAGCCCATATAATGGTGTTAATTGAGTAACTGCTTTTATTCTTTGCTAATCTGTGAGCTTCATTAGGAAGGGAACCAGGTATTATTTACTCTGCACTTAACACGTTGCTTGCACATGGTAGACACTAAAAAAATAGCTACTGGGTTTTTACAGTAATCAAATGACCGTGTTAGTATCTTCGAAATTGACATCCTCCAGGTTTTTAAAAATCTTTTTCCAAGATATCTCAGAGTTTTATGTATTTATTTATTTTGTTAATTTTTAGTTTATTTTAAGTTCCAGATACATGTGCAGGATGTGCAGGTTTGTTACTTAGTGCCATGGTGGTTTGCTGCGCCTATCAACCCATCATCTAGGTATTAAGCCCTGCATGCATCAGCTATTTATCCTGATGCTCTCCCTCCCCCGGCAGTCCACCAGCAGGTTCCAGTGTGTGTTGTTCCCCTCCATGTGTCAATGTGTTCTCATTGTTCAGCTCCCACTTACAAGTGTATCTCAGAGTTTTAAACAGGTAATTGGATGACCTCTGAAGGCTTATCTCTCAGACTTTCACAGCATCCAGTAATAATTACTTTGTAAGAACCTAGCAAATTTTGATAAGCAAACATCTAAATAAAAACAGAACTTTAAGCCCCAGAGACTTTATCTACTTCCCACTTAGAAATTCTTTATCATAATACAGTAGTTCTGTTTACTACATACCATTGATGTTACTATTGTTGTTAGCGATATGGAGTAACAGACTTTGTCCAGTTTTGAGAGATGGGAGGAAAATGTGAAGTGGCAGATAATTATGTATAATTATATATATTAGAATTATATATAAAATAATAATTATAGAATTCTCTACGTATAGAATTTCTATACATAAAATTCTATAAATTCTATTTTTATGTTCAGTGTATGTAAAAACATCTCATAGTGTAAAGAATAGATATAGATAGAAGATTTTTATCAAAAGGAAATTGATTTTTCTCTTTCTTATTAAATAAATGCTGAACAATTATTTAAAGAATATTGGTTGGAAAGACTCCAAGTTGTTAGCCTGCCCAGGGCACCCACATACCTTGGTACAGTCATGGTCTTATAATAATAAGGCAGTGTCTGAGTACTCACAGTTTTAAAGTACATGACAGATCCTTACATGGTATCTGCTCACTCATGCTTGATTTAATAATGCTTGTCATGACCTAGACTTTGAGGTTGCTAAACACTTATGACTCTGTATGTTAAGTCACACTGTAATATTTTTTTCCACAAATATTTTTACAAGAGTAGACCTTTCAAGTGGTGAGTAGTTCATTTTGACAACAATCAACTCTATTATCAAGAGTGGATATTCTATTTTTCAATGTTCAGAAGTGATTATTAATTTTTTGGCCATAAACGTTAAATTCTAGTTCTTGGCAATTTTCCTAGAGACTTAGTAAGAGAAGATCTTACTTTCCCAATTTCCAAAGTATATAAATAAATCTTCAGGTCTAAAGGAGTAATTTCAATGAAATGTGATACCTTTATTTGTGTGTGAACTCTTAGATGACACAAATTAAGTTGATTTGAGGTTTGTGCTGTGTCAAGCTATGTATATAATAAATGCTTCCAGAGAATATGAGCTACTGTTCTGATGTTGCCAGAATTTCATTTTTCACAAAAGGGATACATAGTTTTCTAGCTAATGTTTTCTTCATGAGCACACGTTTCAAGTTCACTTATGTGTGTGCACGTATGTGTGTATGTTTCACCAAACATGTAAGCTTGTTCTTTATACTGACAAGTATATGTAGGAATACTTGTTATATGAAATTAGGTACTACAAGACATGTATTAATAATTTGGTTCAGCATATAAATATTAAGTGTAGAGCAACTGGGAAAGAGAAATAGCAGACGGCACAAATCACTGAATTTTAATCGACGTCCCCTCCCCTGGCAGTACTTTTAAGTTCCTATATGACATTCACAAAGGGATTTGATGTTAAAATATTCAGAGGAAACAATGATCAGGCCAGCTGCAGAAGGTAAAATGCACTTCCTAGTCTTGAAAGACTTATATTTGAATTGCTGTTCACTGTAGTTACATAAACTAAAGTTGAATTATATATGAATCACATTGTGTTTATGAATTATATATGTAATTTTATAGACCTTTTGCAACTTATACAGCCTTATTCATAGTATCTTCTTTTTTCCCCCACAATTAACATGCCATATAGATGTATGTATATGGCATGTTGTGTGTGTGTGTGTGTGCGTGTGAGTGTATTTAACCCTATTTTATAAACTAACACTTAAGGATATTGAATGACTAACCTGACCTTACAAGTATTAAGTTCCATATCCAATTACTGGAAGACTAAGAATCTTAGTTAACATCTACTAAGTAAATATATAAGAATTCTGCAATATGGAAATGAAACAAACCTTCTAGCAAATATATGCTGAGTACCTACTGTGTGCAAAGCAGTGTGGGAACCTCATTTTCTCAGGGCTCAGCAGCATGTTCTAAATCCCTTGGGTGTTTTATAGTTGCATTTTCCGTCATTATAAAGGCATGACCCTCTTCTGGGCTTCAAGCCAAACACTGAACAGCATGAGATAATGTGCAAACGCTTATTCTTGACATCTGATAATTTATAAAAACGAAGTTGTACATGAGAAAGATTCCTATAAATATATTTTATATAAAATCATTTGTAGAAGATTTTACTTTTTAAATTAAATTATTTGTTTTTCACTTAAAAGATTGTTGATAAATTTGGCCTACTAAGCTGTTACAGACCAGACATCCCTAGTGTCTGCAATTCTCCCTGGGAATGCTTGTCACTTTGTAGGAATCATATTATCTTTTTGAGGCCACCTGAAGATAGTTTATTAATTTGTTGGTTTACCAGTCTCTTAATTATCCTGAAAGACTTAACTCCATTTCCAAAGGTGCTACAGGGTGTAGCACTGTAAATCTGATACTTGATGGTAATTTTTACATTATATAAATTTCTTTCATGGGAAATTCCATATGCATAACTAGAAGGGAATCCTGACTGGGATTTTTTTTTCTTTTCTTATTATCTTCAATTTAAAGCACTTTGCTTCTTTTGCTCGCTGAAGAGAAGAAATAACACATATGAGTTATTGGTAGCAAGATAGGAAAATAGCAACATCAGAAATCTGATAATTAGGAGGTTTATAATGGCACATATGTGTCATAAACTGCCAATTAATCTTGATGAGAAATGTAATCAACTTTAGTTATGAATAATGCCTCCCTTCAGAAGATTTAGAAAAATGTCAATGGTCCATACAATTTTTATCTTTGTTTCTGTTTCATTGGACCACTATAGGCACACCCCTTCAGAATGTTTATCTGCAGGCTATAGGTAATGCTGGTTCTAGTTATTGAGTGTAATCCACACACTTGCTTATTTATACACTATATACAGCATATGTGTACAGCATTTGGTGAATTAATGAGGAAATGTATGTAATGGAATACATTCTGAGATTCTAAACTGATAGCTCATATGTGTGCTTTAGCGTTTTCAGAAATAGTGTTTTTAATCCCCGTATATTGAATTTACTTCAGATTTACATTTTCAACGTCAGTAATTCAAAATCTAACCTAAAAAGAGGAAAAATAGAGTTTGCAAAGCACATATCTTTCTGTTAAAATATTTTGATATTATGGAGACCCTTGAAATCTCTTAACCTCCCATCTGCTATCCACACTTGTCTACTGCATTCACAGCCCAAGGTTAAGAAAGACCTGTTTATACCCAAGATTTCCATGTCCTCTTTTCTCTTTCACCCTTCAACCCACTCCAGTCTGGTTTCACACGAACTCTCCACCAAAATAGACTTTTTCATCACTTGATGTCACCATTCATCATCTTTCAGTCCTCTTCATTGGTGATCTCTCAGCAACATTTGACCTCCATTGACCACGTTCTCTTTCCCTTATCTTTTCTTCCTACCATTCCCATTACTTCTTTCAGAATTCCCTGCAGGCTTGTCCTCTTAAGTCTATTTCGTGTTGGACTTCCTCAAGACGAAAAACTCCTAAATAAATATTTACAATTAAGGCCTCAAATCTAAAGAGCAGATCCAGAGATTTCAGAGCCTGTTTGATATCTTCAGTTGACTCTCTCATGGACACCTCAAGTTTAACAAGTCTATAATTGAACAAAATATGCCCTTCCCCCACCCCTTGCCCCCGCCACACACACATGGACTCCTTCACATCCAGACTTCCTCTTCCATTCTGTGTCTCTGTAAATGACATCACTCTTCAACCATTGCTTGAGTCAGGAAACAGAGACTTACTCTGGATGCCCAACTTTTTCATCTTCTTTATTAAGACATCACTTTTAATTTATGAACACCTCCTTGAATTATCCTAGTTCCAGTTTCCACTGCTGTAACCTGAATTCAAGTCACTTTAACCCCTACCTGGCTTACAGCATTGGCAGATTGTAATGGAGCTCCATGCATGGAATCCAGCAGCCATATTGCAACCAAAGCAAACTTTTGAGAACATAGATCTACATCATGCCAGTGCCTTACTTAAAATTCTGCATTGGCTTCCTATAATTCTTTAATTAGTGACCATGTGTTTAATATAGCCCATAATGCCCTTTAGAATTTAATATCTGCCTCCTCTCCAGAGAATTCTGATATTCTGCACCACTCTTCTCCTAAGGGTCTTTCAGTATATCAAGCTCCTTGGTATACTGTTCCTTGGTATACTTGGAATATTACCTCCACCTTGAAAGTTCTCTGCATCCGTTGTACCTTACCTCATCTCCCATTACCTAAACTATTCTTCAAAGCTTGGTGAAAATGTCACTTCCTCAGAAGCCCTTCCTGACCATTCAGGATCTTCTTGTTATCCTAACTGTCATTGGCAGTCGATTCCTCTCTGTCACTGAATTTAGCACAATTATTAAATAATGACTTAAATAACTACTTGTTTGAAGTCTTTCTCATCTGCTATAATAGAGGCTTTATGGGATAAAGAACTATATGTATATTGTTCATTGCTGTACAACACCCAAAATAATAATTTGCCTGTTACAGAATTTGTATGTATATATGTTTAATGAATGAACAAATGAACAAGTAATAATTTCAAGAGCTAATACCACGTATTTCTAAAACCACTAGCATATAGTTGGCACCAGGTAAATATTTATAAATAAATCAACAAATATAATGAAAATATACATTTTTGCTTAGTGTTCCTGATAAACCTTGAACCTTGACCATATTATTAACCATACTTTTTACAAAATGGTGTCTGCTGTTTTTTCCTTTGGCAAAAGGAATTTTCTATCCTCTTGAAAACATACTTACGAGAGAAAAGAATTTGGAGTGCTTCTAGTTCGACATACTAAAGGTGAGGGTTGCCATTTTATATCTAGGAAATGTCTTCCTGTTAGAGTCTATATATTTCAGATTTTAACGAAATGAGGTTGAATAAAACTTTCTGCAACTCTTAGATTTAACTGATTTTACCATTATATTATTTTAGTTTTTTTTAACTGTCAAGATTTCTTGGGCAAATTCATAGTCCTTTGCTGAATTGTAACATTTCCCTTAATTATGAATTTAGACAACACACCACACTAGTAACTAGCTATAATTGTGACTTCAACAGTTACAGAAAACACAAATATTTCATATCATTTTACAGTTGTTACAGGCATTTTAAAATATTATTTTTACTCATCCCTACCTTGAAATTATGGTAGCTATTAAACCTGCTACTATGTTTTGTTACAGAATGTGCTAAGAGACATATAAATACCCATATTACATTTATTTAAAATATTGTTAACAGTATTACTGGTTCCATCAGAATTCTATATTTGTTTACTTTTAATGAATTTTAAAACATTCTGGGACAATGACTTGGTTCACCAGATTGCCAAGAGATCCCTATCACAAAATGATCAAGAACTACAGCATTATGCTATATTTTCAGTTGTGTCAGTCATTGTGTTTAGTGTTCAGAAAAACTTTTTAAGGAGGAGACTCTAGTTTTTAAAAGAAAGGTCAAAATGAAAAAGAATGTCACAAGTTGTACATTTAAACTCAGTTGTAACACTTGGTTTTTCAAATGGTTGTGCAAGTGTCTTGCCTTACTTAATGTGCAGTATTCTTTTTCGTCCTTACTCTTCTTTGCACCCAAACCCTTCTCACTTCAGGCTGAAACAGATTTTAATGTAGAGTTGGGTCACTGAACACTTGCTACTTCACACTTCTCTGCAGGAAAATAATTCTTTTGGATTAAATTTTTTCACTTCTGCTGTAGGGAATAAGTACATGTTTGCTGCTGATGAGAAAGAATTAACCTCAGGTTTATTCTGTTCTGGACCACACAAATCTATGCTTTTGAATGGAAGGAGGAACCAAGAACCGCCCTTAACATTTTGTCACACTGAGAGTGGAGGAATTGGTCGAGGAATCTTTTCATGGTTTGTAAAGGACAATCAAATCCATCCAATTAAAATAAAAAAAAATGATAGCACAATTAGCTCTCTCTTCTTAACTGGATTGTTTTGTTTTGGAATGGAAATTTTCATTTCTCATGGTCATTACTAATGCCCAATAGGAGAAAATATATTTGAATTCTATGATTGCTATTGAAATAATTATGATTTCACTTAGTATGTCCACCATGGTACATGGTCTTCAGCAAATTAGCAAGTAATCATTTGTCTTTGTGATTGTTTTCAGGTAATAGTTATTTATGTAAATGTAGAATTTTTTATATGTTGTATTGATGAAATTATTTCAAAATGCAGTACATCTTTCCTTACTTTCCCAAATAGTGTGTGTGTGTGTGTACATATATATTCCTGCCTACATTCTAAAAATGATTTAATCGTGACTATAAGTATTACATTATGCTAAATATGGCCCACTTTTCCTGACAGTTGTTAGAATACAAAAAAATGCAAACAGGCATTGGTATTAGGGAAGACATTGGCTTTGAAGCAACATATCTGGGTTTAACTTCTGGCTCCTTTGTTAAACATGCAGTTTTGTGACCCTAGACAATTTATTTAGTTACAGCGCAGTTTACTCAACTGTAAAAAGAGGGTGTTAACACTACCTCATACTACCTCATTAATTGAGAGGTACATATCAGGTACCTAATAAATGTTAGTGATAGAATTAGTGTGTTGTAAATGCTGTCTTCAGGACAACTGAATACTTGGTGTTTTTTCCTATAAAGAAGATCCACTTTAGGGTTCTTTTGTCTACTTTTAGAGGCTAACATATCACTGCTAAGAGTATTTGTAACCTGTAACTCCTTTCTTATTTTTGCTTTGGCTTTTTCTTCTTCTCTTTGTAATTTTGGTTCATAATGTTAGTGTTATGATTAGCAATTCTTTTGTTTTACAGCCAGGGTTACAAAGGTATTACTACATGTCTCTTCTATTTGATCAATGAGGTAATAAATTAGGTTATGATGCATGTAATTATTTTTTCTGACAGATCCTTTTGTGTCTTAGGTGATTTTATGTCATCTAGGGACTTTTCTTTTCCACTTGGTCTTGATTGAGATACCATGAAACTACCATGGAAAATAAAATGTAAGCCAGGGAGGCTTTCCTGTGTAATCTTCGCTATCCCTGAGGCTCCCCGTATTATACATCTGCAGGAACATTATTACATCTTAGAAGTGCCAGGAGAAAATGGGTTGGGGTAGAGGTACGTGACTCTTCCCGTGGAAGTGGTTTTTCCTCTATGGTTGTTCTTCTCTGGAGCCCTCTACTCCTGCCTTCCCTCTGCTCCTTTTTGGTCTGCTGGTCCTGTGGGTCATTTGCCAGTTTCCTCTGAGTTAGCAACCTTGAGTTTTTGTCCTGCTCATTAAAAAAGAAGTCCACAGCTCTTCAGTTTGCTCCCCAAGGAATACAGTTCTCCAGTCTTATCGAACTCTCCTCTCCAGGGCTAACAGCCCTAGGGCGAATATGAGGGAGGCAGACTGTTTCCTAGTAGGGTCGAGCCCAGCCCGAACTCTTTTCTTGGTCCACCTGTTCATTCTAACCCCCTGACTCCACTGCTCCAGCTCAACCAGCCCATTTGTATCAGGTGTCTTCTCATTTATAATGCAACAATTTTCCATGATAGTCCTGATGTTCTTTTGATATTTTCATGTCAAGTTCCATCATCCCAAGTCCATCAGAAAGATGGCACCTCTAGAATACATACAAATTTCTTTCATACCGGGTCCATATTTAAGAATATGTTGAAACCTGAAGTTCATTAAATAGTATCTTATTGTTATAAAGTCTCCTTTTCCACCACCCACCCACTGCCACAAATAAGGCACTAAGTAAAATTCTAACATAACCTATTCAGCTCTAAGTCAAAACTTGATGCTACAAAGTAAGTATATGTATAACACATCTTGATGTTTTTAACATTTAGATATTTTTAAGGATTTTTAAACTATTTTCATCCCATTTGACGCTTTTTTCCATATATAGTTCCCATTACTCTTTCTAGATTTGTTTTTATTTTTTCAAATTTTTGATATCAAAAATGTATTTAGTTCGTGACCTGCCTGGGTAACATGGTGAAACCCCATTTCTGCATAAAATACAAAAATTAGCTGAGCATGGTGGTGTGTGCCTATAGTCTCTACTACTGAGGAGGCTGAGTTGGGAGGGTCACCTGAGCTTGGGAAGTTGAAGCTCCAATGAGCCATACTGTGAAACTAAACGCTGCACTCTAGCCAGGGTGATGGGAGCGAGACCCTGTCTCAGAAAATAAATGAATAAATTATAAATAGTATTTCTATATTCATGGATTTTAAATGATTTTTTTCACTAGCAAACAATAAGTCAGGATATATAACTAAATAGCATAGTTAGATAAGAATAGTGCCAACATGCTTAGATTAATTTGGGAACATCAAAAATTATACCCCATGTGAAATGATAAGGTCCATACACTACGTTTGAATTTTAAAAGTATTATTGTATATTTTTTCTATAGAATTATGAATTGATTGTTTTGATATCTTTTGCACCAACAAGTTAATTTCAGGAGAGTAGGTTTGCTTGTAAACTATGAGAAATATCCAATTTCAATGGATGTGAAGGAGATAAGCACATGGAGTATGCTTCAGTGCACAGAACAGCAGTTTTAGTCACAGGAATAGATTTGATAGGAATCACATTTGGCTGTAACAAGAATCTACATATGGAACAATGTACAGGATAAATTCTCCACTTGCAGGATCAAAATGTAAGGTGGATTTAAATATCTTCCAAATTTTGGAACTCCACATAACACAATTTTTCTTTCTGTTTGTGAATAGAGAAGAAGCCTGCTGGAGAACAAGTAGAGAAACTGAGACTCCAACTCTTTCTTTAAATTTGGTTCCCTTATTCAATGTGATGATTGATATCACTCACCTGCCATTTAACTTAATACTGCACTCTTGGCAAGGGTTAGTCTCCATTAGGCTCAGCAGGTGATATCATCACTGTCTGTATGATTAAATGACACTTAGTAATATGGATTTCCCAAATTGTGTAGTATCTTCCTAGTATGTCATCACTATCCCCATTTTATAGCCAGAACACAGGTGAATTTGGCTCTGCAGTGAAAGGTTCAGGTAGATAAATACGAGAATGGGAGGTTTTCATTTGCTATTGGCATTGTTTAACATGCCTAAAAAATTGTTTTATTGCCCAGATGTTGGAAATGTATTAATTATCGTATTGGCTCTTGGGCCTAGTTCTTGCAAGAATGATAGTAGATGCCAGAAGCTAAATAAACCTTTTGTCATACTGCTGAATAAAGGATTGTTTGTGCTCTCCAGTTGATAAATTATCTTTGTGCCTTGTCGTTATAAAAAGAAACTCATCTTGTTCACTAGTCTGACAGGAGATGAGAAGGCCCTAGAGAGAGCACAGAGAGTTTTTCCTTTCACAAATCACATGTAGGATGTATGCTGTGGGTCCTGTCTGGAAATGAATGTGGAAAGAATCCAGGATGAAGCATACAATTTTCATTGTTACTACTTGGTATATGATAGATTATTACAAATTCGCGAGATTAAGGTTTTCCTTTTACTCATACTGACTTATCTTAAATCTAGGAACCAATTCTAGCACGGACAAATGTTCTTTTGTGCATAGTTGAGAAAGAAAAGGATAGTTTAAATTTCAGTGCAGCTAAGATAATATCAGTAATTTTATGGTTATTCTATGAGTTTATGACAGGGATTTATGGAAGCATTTGATATGAAGGCGTCTCATTTAGTATTGAAGAGAAAAAGCCCAGCTATTCCTTTAGACCAGTGTTTCTGCTAAACAAAATGCACTGAAACTTGCAAACGACAAGTTGTTTTTGTTTTTGTTAGTAATAAACTTTATTTTATATAGCCTGTTTTAGGTTCACAGCAAAACTGAGGAGAAAGTAAAAAAGGTTCCCATATGTCCCCAGTCCCCACACACTCACCACCTCCCCCATTATTGACAGACACCCTGAACTCAGTTGGTACCTGCATTGATACATCATTATCACCCAAAGTCCATTGTTAACATTAGGGTACATTCTAAGTGTTAACACGTTCTGTCGATTTAGACAAAGGTATAATGATTTTTATCCTGTTGGGTGTTCCCTGAGCTTCCTTGATCTGAAGTTTGGACATTAATGTGGGGAAATTATCAGTCATTATTGCTTCAAATATTGCTTCTGTTTCTTTCTTTTCCTTCTGGTGTTCCCATCACATGCTTGTTAGACCTTTTTTGGTTATTCTACAATTCTTGAATATTCTGCTTTGTTGTGGGTTTTTTCAGTCTTTTTTTCTCTTTGCTTTTCAGGTTTGGAAGTTTTTATTGTCATATCCTCAAGCTCAGAGATTTTTTTCCTCAGCTGTGTCCACTCTACTATGAGTTTACTGAAGGCACTTTTTATCTTAATTCTTTCTTAGAATTTTCATCTCTCTGCTTACATTATCCATCTGTATTTTTCAAGTTGCCTACTTTTTTCATTAAAGTTCTTTGCATATTAATCATAGCTTAAAAAATTCCTTACCTTATAATTATATTGCAGGGTATTTTCTTGACCCCTTCCTAAGATTCATGACAGGGGTGCATCACTTACCAAGCCCACCCACTCAACCCCTCATGGGTGGAAGCATGCAAACAAACAAGGGCAGGAACCAGCCTCTTTGGTGCTGGAAGAAGTGAACTCCAGGCAGGCCCATGGGAGTGTCCAGGTCAGGGTGCCTGTGACCTCAAGACCCCAGAGGCTGAGCTCTCTTAGCTCTGCCATCTGTAGACAGCAGTGTGTTATCAGCTCAGTGGGCCCTTTGTCTTGTAGCATGGGGCAGCTGCCTTCCGCCAGCAAGGGCAAAGTGTCAGTGTGACAGCCTTTTTGGGTATTCACACCCAGTGCATCTTGAATTCTAGTCTGGTGCCCAAGAGGATTGAGGTCACATGGACGAATTGAAAGATGGTGAATGTGGAGAATTTTGTTGAGTGATGAAAGTGGCTCTCAGTAGAGAGGGGAGCTGGAAAGGGGACAGGAAGGGAAGTTACTCTCCCCTGAAGTCAAGCCACCTCTCTCCGATGTCCAGCCACTGTCTCTGAAGTCAAGCTGCCTCTCTCTGACATCCAGGTGCTTCTTCCCGATGTCCAGCTGCTTCTAACCTCTGCCGGCTGAGTCTGGGGTCTTATAGGCACAGGATGGGGACAAGGTGGGCCATAGGTAGTTTTCAAAAAGGAAACATTCGATTGATAAAAAGACATTATTCAGAAAGAACCAATCGGGAGAGAGTGGACACACAGGGATGGAAGTTCTCACTTTGGGCTGCGAGTTTCAGGCTTTTTGGTTCAAAGGTGGGGATTTGCCAGGGACCAACCCCTGTCTGCCTAGAGTTTCTCTGCACCTGTCACTGTCAGTTACAACATTTCTATCATATCTGACTCTGTTCTGACATTTGTTCTGTTTCATTTTTGCCTTTAGTATGTCTTGTAATTTTTATGTTGAAAGATGAGCTTGATGTATGGGTAAAAGAAATTTCAGTAAATATATCTTCAGTAATGCAAAGTAAGACGTGAAAAGAGGAAAATGTTTCAGTCTTACAATTAGATCTCAGTCTTTTGGTGACCCCCTATCCCTGGACTGTGAACTTTCAAACACTTCTCAGGTCCCCCACCTCCCAAAGTGGGCTAGGAAAACTAGAGGAAGCTGGAGTTGGATATTTCCCTTCCCCTAACTGCGTTAGGCTCTGATAAACATTGGCACATTAGGTTCTGGTAAAATAGTTTCTCCTGAGGGCAGACTTTGTTACAGAATGTTCTGATGTATTTGAAATGGCTACAATTCCCCTCCCTCTACTGAAAATGAGATTTTTTTTTCCTTTGATAATTGCTGTGAGGAGGTGGTAGAGCTCCTGTAGGTAAAACTCACAAAAGAACGGGTATGCCCCTATGACTAATCCTTTCTAGACACTTTTGGAACAAGTCTCACTTTCAGACTTGTTCAAACTGAGCCTTCACCAATTTGTCATTTACAGCTTAGGTTTTCCTTACCCAGCACTGCTTCCAGTGGAGGTTTATACTCATGGATTTCTGCTCAGGTAAGTTGTGATTTTCTATATTTGCCTTTCTCACCAATTTTTGAAGCAGTGGTTTGCCCTGTAACCTCACTTCTCTGATTAATCTAAGAAATGTTGTTGATTTTTCTGTTTGTTCAGCTTTTCATAAGTTGTTAACACAGAATGGCAACTTCTAAGCTCCACAGATACCAAAGTAGAAACCAAAAGTCCTGGTTTTCTTAATGAAATATGTTCTCATTTTTTGATGAATAAAATAGATATGTTCTCACTGTTTGGTGAAATCTTCCATCACTTTCATTAATATATGTGTTGGCTGGGCATGTGGCTCACACCTGTAATCCCAGCACTTTGGGAGGCCGAGGCGGGCGGATCACTTGAGGTCAGGAGTTCACAACCAGCCTGGCCAACATGGTGAAACCCCGTCTCTACTAAAAATACAAAAAAATTAGCCGGGTGTGGTGGTGGGCGCCTGTAATCCCAGCTACTCGGGAGCCTGAGGCAGTAGAATCGTTTGAACCCAGTAGGCAGAGGTTGCAGTGAGCAGTGTGTTGTGTTATACATTGTGTAACAATGTAACGTGTTACATTAACATTGCTGTGTATAATGATACCATGATATCATGTTAAGTTACTCACTGCCCTTCTAAAACATACTGACTGCACACATAAACAATGCTCAGTACATAAGTCTGATGTATTCTGAATGAATCATATGAGATTTAATGAGTATGTTTTTAAAAGTCATACAGGGTTGTATTGAAGAATAATTACCTGAAATTTATCTATTTTTTGAGATTTTTAAAAATGTTTGTTTCAATAGTTTTTTAGGGTACAGGTGGTTTTTGGTTATGTGGATAAATTCTTTTGTGGTGATTTTTGAAATTTTAGTGCACCTGTCACCCAAGCAGTTTACACTGTACCAAATATGTAGTCTTTTATCCCTCAACTCCCTCCCATTTTTCCCTACCCCAAGTACCCAAAGTCCATTATATCATTCTTAGGCCTTTGTGTTCTGGTAGTTTAGCTGTCACTTGTGAGTGAGAATTTATTTATTTATTTTAAATTTTAATTATGGTAAAACCACTTAGCATCAGATCTACCCTCTTCACAGATTTTTAAGTGTACAATATAACATTGTTATGTATAGGCACAATGTCACACAGCACGTATCAAGAATTTATTCATCTTGGAAAGCTGAAATTTTGTGCCCATTGATCAGCAACTTCTTGTTTCCCCATACCACTTAGCCCTGGTAACCACAATTATATTGTTTGCCCCCTTGAATCTGATAATTTTAGTACCTCATGTAAGGGGAATATTGTGGTATTTGTCCTTCTGTGATTGGCTTATTTCACTTAGTACAATGTCCTTACTTTAATCCATGTTGTCACATATGGCAGCATTTCCTTCTTTTCTAGGGCTGAATAGTATTTTATTGTATGCATATACCAAAGTAAATTTTTTATGCATTTATATGTTGATAGACATCTAGATTGTTTTACATTTGGCTATTGTGAATAGTACTGAAATAAATATGGAAAAAATGTCTCTTAGAAACCCTAGTTTCAATTCTTTTGGATAAATACCCAGAATGGGATTGCTGAATTATATGGTAGTTCTGTTTTTATTTTTTGAGGAACCTTCAAACAGTTTTCCACAGTGACTGTACCAGTTTACATCCCTCCCAACAGTGCGCAAGGGCAACAATTTATCCACAACCTCACCAACACTTACCTTTTCTGTTTTTGATAATAGCCATCCTAACAGGTGCGACATGATATCTCATTGTGGTTTTGACTTGTATTTCCTCAATTATTAGTGATATTGAGCATCTTTTCCCACCCGTTAGTCATTTGTGTTTTTTGGAAAAATGTCTATTCAAGGTTTTAGCCCATTTTTAAATTAAGTTATTACTTATTTTATTATTGAGTCCCTTATATATTTTGGAGTTTAAACGCTTATCAGATATATGATTTGCAAAAGTTTCCTCTCATTATGTAGGTTGCTTTTTCACTCTATTGATCATTTCCTTTGATTTGCAGAAGATTTTTAGTTTGCTGTAGTCCCACTTGTCTATTTTTGCTTTGGTTGCCCATGCTTTTGGTGTCAACATTCATCAAATCATTGCTAAAACCAACGTCATGAAGTTTTACCCAGTGTTTCTTCTAATAGTTTCATAGTTTCAGATCTTACATCTAAGTGTTTAATATATTTTGAGTTGATTTTTGTGTGATAGAAGGGTCCAATTTCATTCTTTTCATGTGAATATTCAATTTTTACAATACCATTTGTGAAGAAATTATCGTTTATCCATTGTGGTACTTGGTATTCTTTTCTTTTAGTTTTTAATATTTTATTTTTATACTCGTAGCCCTCATTTCCTGAAGATTAGATTGGCATTCTTGCTGAACATCAGTTGACCATATATGCATGGGTTTATTTCTGGACTCACTATTCTGTTCCATTCTTATATATTATCTGTCTGTATGCCAGTAGCACACTATTTTGAGATTCTTCATTTTTATCATAAAAGGGTCTTGAATTTTATCAATTTTTTTCTACATTTAATGAGAGACCATATGATTTTTATCCTTTGTGAACTCCATTTTACAAATTTATTTTTTTGACTGCTACCTTCAATTTAGTTTTCTTAGATTGTCATTGACCTTGTATATATAGAATGTACCATCTTGGGTGCTTCTAAAAATATGCTGATGAGGAAATCATCCCTGATGATAGTGACAGATTTTTTAATGGAGCACATAATATTAAAATAGAAGGAATAATACAAGGGTAAGAGTTTGGATATTCTAACTTACTATTATGTATTGCATTCTCTAATTCCTTTTTATTGAATATACTGAAATCAATATGTCTAATCCATACAACTCTCTTGAGTTCTAGCTCCACCTTTTCATATACTGTCTTCATATCTCCATCTAGATAGCCAGAGATTTATCAAATTCCAGGTGATAAAAACAGAATTCATGCTTCTCCTACAATATACTCCTCTTCCTGAACTTTTTGTATCAGCTAATGGTATATCACTCCTCTTGAACTCTCACCCAAACTGTTGAAATCACCTTCCAACTTTTCCTTCCACCTCCAGTCTCTTCTATCTTTGACATAGATGCCAATAATTATCTTTCTATATTGTAAGCATTGCTATATCTATTGCCCCCTCTAAAACCCTTCAGTGGCTCATCATTGCCTAGAAAACAAAGTCCAGGTTTCTCAACATCACATTCAAGAAATCTGCCTAGCTGATCAACTTTATGTATGTTCTTCATACAGTATTTTCATGGTATTCTCTATCAGACATATTGCTTCCCATCATTCTGACACCAATAGGGCTTAGGAAGTGAAAGAGTATTAGCAGAAGACCATGATTTTGAGCCAATAAATTACTGAGTATAAAACCTGACTTCAATAATTTGGTAGTAATATGAATAATACAAATTGATTAGCTTTATCTACTTCATAGAATTATATTAAGGATTCAAAAGACTGATTCTATTTATATACATATTATCTTACTATCATCACTCTGTACTTAATGTATTACCATTCTATTCATATATCTTTAAGTATTAGATCTGCCACTTAGTAGGCAATTAATAATTTGTTAATGTAATTATCCTCATCAGTCATTTGTTATGTTCTCATAAAAGCTTCTTCTAGTTTCTGTTAGTGAATTTTTGACACGCATCAAGTTGTTCAAAGAGGGATATATGCACATTGTTTTATAATTCCTTGTGTTCACTATCTATCTCTTCCAGTATGAGTTTCTCATGGCCCTTAAATGAAGTAATGAGAAGGGAATTCAGTGTTAGAATAGAAGATGCATGGAGGAATTAGTTGCAGAACAAAGAAGGGCAAACACAGACCACTCATTGTGGAAGTTTATTCATAGCTACTATTATTTTTCACTTCCCTCACTCTCAGAAAACTTCTTGCAAAATATCTCTCACTCTGTCTTCTGAATCTCAGTACTCTCTCTTACTCCTCAACCAAAGACAGTATGAATTCTGTACCCACTACTCATTGATAAAATTATTTATTCAAAACATACAATGGACTAATATATATATATTTCACTATATTTCACAATATAAGTATATATAGAGTATTGTGTCCTCTGTCACCCAGTCATGCTTTTCCCCATCCTGGGGACAATTCCTGTGATTAGTTTTCTTTTCATCCTTCCATATACAGTCTATGTATTCTCAACATCTATGTTTATATGTATGTGATTCTTTAAAACATTTTATACAGTCAGCAGCATAATGCACTTTTCTGCACTTTGCTTTCGCAAATTTATCTATCTATCTATCTATCTATCTATCTATCTATCTATCTATCTATCTATCATATCTATCTGTCATCTATCTCCATGGTGGTAATATAGCATGCCCTATTTTCTAAACCTTCATGAAGTTCCAATATATAGATGTGTTATATTTTATTTAATCTGCTCTACACTAGTGGACAACTAGACTGTTCAAACCTGTGACATAAAAGATATCACTACAATGTATATTCTCATACAACCATCCTTTTGTACACATGAGAAAAGCCTTTAAATGAGAAATTAGATCAAAGGGTGTATCTGTTTTTAATTTTGAAAGGTTTTACTAAGTTGTCTCATCAGAAACTGTACTACTGGTCACGTTCCTACCAGCTAGATCTTCAACTGCCTTCAGGCAATGATATCAGTGCAGTGTGTTACCAGACAAATTTCTTTTTGCCAAACTGATTGGTTAAAAAGTATCTTATTTTCATTTGCATTTGCATTTGTGCTAATATAAGAAAGATACATTTTTTTCCTAAGATTAAAAGCCATATGTTGACTTTTTTTTTTCTTTTTGGTAAACAGTTCACATGCTTTGCTCATTATTTTTCTAGTGAGCTAGGGATTTTTTGATGAGCTGTTTCCAAATTATACAGAGTTATAGATATTTATATGTATATACATATATAGTTACATTTACTGTAACTAATTATATGTAGGTATGTGTATACATAGTTATAGTTATATATACTTATATATTATAAAGTATATATGTATGCATGTATTATATATATATGAGTATGTGTATGTGTGTGTGTGTGTGCATGCATGTGTGTGTGTGTGGTGTGTGTGAGATATGAGTTGCAGATATTTCCCTCATTTATCTCTTATTTTCTGACTTTGTTCATGGAGTTTTTCCTCCTGCTTTTGAGAATCTTTTGTTTCCTGCTTCTAACAACCTATGCTCATATGTGTGAGCAAAGAAATAACATAAAACTGGAACTTATATTTAAAGAGGAAGCAGAGTGTAAAACTTTGAAAAATGTGCAGCCCAGCTACGTGGTAGAAAAGAAAAATCCATTTTCAGGGGAGAAATTCAAGCTGGCTGCAGAAATTCGCATAACTAAAAGGAAGGCAAATGCTTACACAATGGGGGAAAGGCCTCGATGGCATTTCAGTGACCTTCACAGCAGCCCCTCTTTACAGGCCCAGAGAGGTCTAGAAGGATATAATGATCTTGTTGGCTGTGTCCAGGGCCCTGCTGTCCTGCACAGCCTCAGAACACTGCTCCCTTCATCCCAGAAGCTTGAACTCCAGCCATGGCTGAAAGGGGCCCAGCTACAGCTCAGGTCACTGCTTCAGAGGGTGCAAACTATAAGTCTTTGCAGCTTTCACATGGTGATAAGCCTGCATGTGTGCAGAGTCCAATAGTTGAGTCTTGGAAGCCTCAGCCTAGATTACTATACTATGTATGGAAAAGCTGGAATGTCCAGTCAGAAAGCTGCTGCAGGGGTAGGGCCCTCATGGAGAACCTCTACTAGGGCAGCATGGTGGGGAAATGTGGGGTGGGAGCCTCCACAGAGAGTCCCCATTGGGACACTGCCTAAGGGAGCTGTGATAAGAGGGCCACTATCCTCCATACTCCAGAATGGTAGATCTACCGGCAGCTTGCACCATGAACCTAGAAAAGCTGCAGGCCCTGAACACTAGCCCTTGAGAGCAGCTGTGGGGACTGAACCCTGGAAAGCCACAGAGGCAGAGCTGTCCAAGGCTTTGGAAACACACCCCTTGCACAAGTGTGCCCTGGATGTGGGACATGGAGACAAAGATTATTTTGGAGCTTTCTATTTAATATTTAATGACTGTCCTGCTGGGTTTTGAACTTGTGTGGGGCCTGTAGGCCTTTTCTTTTTGCCAATTTCTCTCTTTTGGAATGGATTATTTACTGAATGCCTATATCCCCATTGTATATTGGAGGTAACTATTTTTTTTTTTTTTATTTTACACCCTTTTAAGTGACTTTCCTTATCTCAGATGAGAGTTTGGACTTTGGACTTTTGAGTAAATGTTGGAATGAGTCAAGACTTTTGGGGACTGTTGAGAAGGGATGATTGTATTTTGCAGTGTGAGGACATGATATTTGGAGGGGCCAAGGGTGGGATGATATGATTTGTATCTGTATCCCCACCAAATCTCATGCCAAATTGTAGTCTGAAGTGTTGGAGGTGGGACCTGGTAGAATCATGGGACGGAGTTATCATGAATGGTTTAGCGTCATCCTCTTGGTGCTGTTCTCGTGATACTGAGTTCTTGTGAGGATTGGTTGTTTAAAAGTGTGTAGCACCTTCCTCCTCTCTCTCTTCTCCTGCTTTGGCCATGTAAAATGTGCCTGCTTCCCCTTTGCCTTCTGCCATGAATGTAAGTTTCCTGAAGCCTCCACAGAAGCAGGAGCTGCTATGCTTCCTATACAGCCTGCAGATCCATGAGCCAATTAAACCTCTTTACAAATTACCCATTCTCAGGTATTTCTTTATAGCAATGCAAGAATGGATTAATACAGTCTTGTAACATGCTGCTGGATTCTATTTGTACTTAGTCCAATATAACAGGAGTAGATGCAAAATTTTGTTGAGATGAGAATGAACAAATATAGGGACTTGATATTGATAACCTTTGTCATTTCACTGAAATAAAAGGAGTGATAATCCATTTAGTCACCTAGCATTTGTAAAGCCCACACTAGAAAACAAGTACTGAGTTAATGCTGGGGCTGAGAATATGGAAAGGGCATTATTTCTGTCTTCAAAAGCACACAGCTGAGTGAGTCAGAAATATATTCAACAAATCATAATGTAGTGTGGTCAAAGCTTTTGTAGTAATAGGACCATGAAAAATCAGGGGCCAGCATAACCTAGAATGTTTGAGGGAGTTGCAGGATGCATAACAGGTAGTGACATATAATCTGGCTTGGAGACTAAAAACTTAGTTTTTGGAGAAACAACTGGGTGGAGTTTGTTAAGGAACAAACAAACAGAAGAGATGGTTTTAGGTAACCCAGATAGTAAAAGAAGAGCCAATTTGAATTTAAAGCATATTTTTAGAGAGCTACTTTTATAACTAGAATTATTGAATACAATAGATGAAAAGAAACTTAGGACTAATCTCATTTTTGTGGCCACCTCGGTTGGCAGCATCCTTCTTTAGCATGAGAGGTGAAATAGTGAGATGGCAATTGAAGTTAGCAGGCATAATAAGGCTGGATAGTGTTCAGTGTGTGTGCAAGAGTCTAAGGAGTTTGTAAGGCATTATGGGCATTTATCACAGACAGGAGTAAAATTGCTATACTATGTGAAGAGAGGCATTAAGAATAAACACATTCTGCTGGTATAAGATGCAAGAAATAATTCAGATAGGGAGACTGTATATCTAGTATTTAATAACCTGCTGCTGAATGCATGGCAGACAACATACATATAATATCCTCTAATTCACAGAAATCCTGAGACATTGGTATTTCATAAGTGAAGGGTTAGATACACTGTATAATTTGTTCAAGTCAAAAGCTGGTGAATGACAGAGCCAGGATTAGAATGAAGATATTTGAGACTTTGGTGAAGCCACAGATCACATGGAGAAGTGTGTAAGATCTCCATAGAGGTGCTAGCCTTCTATCCCTACAAACTTTACTTGTTAAAACCATGGTTCTCCTTGTAGACAATATATGCCTAAAAGTATTGAACACCCAAATGAGGCAGTGATTCAAAAAGAGAGTAGTAAAGCCTAGAATCAGCACTGTACTTATGGCCTGGTGCCTTGTTTTTCACTAATTTTTCAGATCACAAATTCTGAGCCTTTTTTCTGATCCTCCTAGTTATATCTGCTCCCATAGAAAGTTTGACCTTTTATTTATTAACACTGTTACTTCCAGAACCTCCCAGGCTGATTAGGAGCTCTGAGCCTAGTAATAATAATAATGAAAATACTCCTGTAGCATTTATTATTTGCTTGACATTGTTCTAAACACTTTACATACTCGTTTAATCTTCACAGTTAATACTATGAGGTATATTCTACAGCATTAAGAACAGTCACAGAGCTTCTAATGACAGCAGGATTTGGGTTCAGATTTTTTAAAATTTTAAACATGTTTTATTTGGAAGAACACAATAAATTCTACTTGTTTTTCAATACATTCTATGCATTTTCTTAAATTAAATTACATTTTATATTCAGGGGTTACATGTTCAGGTTATAACCATAGTAGTGGGTAATTACTAGTTACACTAGAAGCCCAATCCCCACCACTATAGCCTAACTGTCACAGAAAGAATGAACATTGTGTCCGACAGGTAATTTTCAACTCTCTGCACACCTTCCAAGCTCCTTATCTTTTGAAGTCCCCAGTGTCTACTGTTTCCACTTCTATGTCCATATGTACCCATTGTTTACCTCCCACTTGTAGATGAGAACATGCGTTATACATTGATTCTTTTGTCTATGAGTTATTTCACGTAGGATAATGGCCTCTGGCCCCGTTCATGTCACTGCAAATGACACTGTTTCATTCTTTTTTATGGCTACACAGTATTCCATGGTGTATCCATACCACATTTTGTTTATCCAGTCCACCACTGATGGACACTTAGATACTTAGATTGGATCACTTTACTCTTGCAAATAGTGCTGCAATGAACATATGCATACAGGTGTTGTTGTTGTTGTTTTGAGACAGAGTCTTGCTCAGTCGCCCAGGCTGGAGTGCAATGGCATGATCTTGGCTCACTGCAAGCTCTGCCTCCCAGGTTCACGCCATTCTCCTGCCTCAGGCTCCCAAGTAGCTGGAACTACAGGTGCCCGCCACTACGCCCAGCTAATTTTTTTTTGTATTTTTAGTAGAGACGGGGTTTCACCATGTTAGCCAGGATGGTCTCGATCTCCTGACCTAGTGATCCACCCACCTTGGCCTCCCAAAGTGCTGCGATTACAGGTGTGAGCCACCCTGCCTGGCCATTGTTGTTATTTTTTAAATACAATTATTTCTTTTCCTTTGGGTAGATACGCAGTAGTGGGATTTCTGGGTTGAATGGCAGTTCTGATTTTAGTCCTTTGAGAGCTCTCCCTACAGTTTTTCATATGGGTTTAACTATATTTACATTCTCACTAACAGAGTATAAGTGTTCTGTTTTCTCCTCATCCATGCCAACATCTTTGTTGTTTTTTGACTTTGTAGTAATAGCCATTCTTATTGGTGTAGGGTTATATCACCTTGTGGTTTTAATTTGCATTTCTCTAATGATTAGTTATATTGAGCATTTTTTATATGCATGTTGGACAGTTGTATGTCTTCTTTTGAAAAATGTCTCTTCATGTCCTTTGCCCACATTCTAAAAAATGAGGTTATTTGTTTTTGTTGTTGTTATTGAGATGTTTGAATTCCTTATAAATGCATAATATAAAAATATTTTCCCTCACTCTGCACATTGTCTGTTCACTGTGTCGAATATTTATTTTTCTGTGCAGAAGCTTTTTAGTATAATTAAATATCATTTGTCTATTTTTGTTTTTGTTGCATTTGCCTTTGGGATCTTCATCATACTCTTTTTGCATAGGCCCATATCCAGAAGAGTTTTCCGAGCTTTTCTTCTAGAAATTTTATAGTTTCAGGTATTATGTTTAAATATTTTATCCATCTTGAGTTAATTTTTGTATATGATGAGAGATAAGGATCCAATTTTATTCTTTTGCATATGGCTAGCCAGTTTTCCGATCACCATTTGTTGAATAAGATATCCTTTTCCCATTGTTTATTTTTGTCAACTTTGTCAAAGATTAGTGGGTTATAGATATGTGGCTTTATTTCTGGGTTCTCTATTCTGTTCCGTTGGTCTGTGTGTCCATTTTTGTACCAATACCACGCTGTTTTAGTTACTATAGCCTTATACTATAATTTGAAGTCAGGTAATGTGATGCCTCCAGATTTTTTCTTATTGTTTAGTATTGCTTTAGCTATTTAGGCTCTTTTTTGATTACATATGAAATTTTTGATTGCTTTTTATAATTCTGTGAAAAATGGCATTGACCATTTGATAGGAATTGCATTTAATCTGTAGATTGCTTTGGAGAGTATGGTCATTTTAACACTATTGATTCTTCCCATCCATGAGCATGAGATGTTTTCTCATATAATTTCTTTCTTTCCTTTTTTTTTTTTTTTTGAGACAGAGTCACTCTCTGTCACCCAGGCTGGAGTGCAGTGGCACGATCTCGGCTCACTGCAAGCTCTGCCTCCCAAGTTCATGCCATTCTCCTGCCTTAGCCTCCCGAGTAGCTGGGACTACAGGCACCCGCCACCACGCTCAGCTAATTTTTTTTTTTTGTATGTTTAGTAGACACGGGGTTTCACCATGTTAGCCAGGATGGTCTCGATCTCCTGACCTCGTGATCTGCCCGCCTCAGCCTCCCAAAGTGCTGGGATTACAGGTGTGAGCCACTGTGCCCGGCCTCATATAATTTCTTTCATTAGCCTTTTGTAGTTTTCCTTATAGAGATGATTCACCTCCTTGGTTAGCTATATTCCTAGATATTTTATTTTCTTTGTGCCTGTTGTAAATGGGATTGTGTTCTTGATTTGACTCTCAGCCTGGACATTATTGTTGTGTAGAAATGCTACTGATTCTTGTACATAGATTTTGTATCCTGAAACTTTAATGAAGTCATTTATCAAGTCTAGGAGTTTTGCGGACGAATCTTAAGGGTTGTCCGTGTATACAATCATGTTATCAGCAAACAGAGATTACTTGGCTTCTCTTTTCTAATCAGGATGTCTTTTATTTCTTTCTCTTGCCTGTTTGCTCTGGCTAGCACTCCTTGTACTGTGTTGAATAGTAGTGGTGAGAGTGAATATTCTTGTCTTATTTCAGTTCTTAGGAAGAATGCTTTGAGTTTTTGCCCATTCATTATGATGTTGGTTGTGGGTTTTTCATATATGGTTCTTACTGTTTTGAAGTATGTTTCTTCAGTGCCTAGTTTGTTGTGGGTTTTTATCATGAAGAGATGCTGGATTTTATTAAATGCTTTTTCTGCATCTATTGAGATGATTATATAGTTTTGGTTTTTAATTGTGTTTATGTGATGGATCACATTTATTGATTTGCATATGTGAACCATCCTTGCATTCCTGTAATAAAAACCCCTGCCCCCAATCATGATGAATTATCTTTTTGGTGTACTGTTGGATTCAGTTTGCTAGTATTTTGTTGAGGATTTTGCTTGTCTTTTCATCAGGGATATTGTCCTACAGTTTTTTGTTGCTGTTGTGTTCTTACCTGATCAGAGGGTTGCTGGTTTTATAGACTAGTTATAGGAGGAATACTTCTTCCTCAGGTTTTTAGTTAGAGAGGAATTATTCTTTCTTGAGTTTTTGAAATAGTTTCAGTAAAATTGGTACCAGCTCCTTTTATGTCTGGTAGAGTTTGGCTGTGAATCTGTCTGGTCCTGGGTGGGTTTTTTGTTGTTGTTGTTGTTGTTGTTGTTGTTGTTGGAAGATGTTTTATTACTGATTTGATTTTGTGACACATTACTGATCTATTCAGGATTTCTATTTTTTTCTTCTTTAATCTTGGGAGGTTTTATGTTTCCAGGAATTTATCCATTTCCTCTAGGTTTTCTAGTTTGTGCACATGGAGACATTCATAGTATTCCTTGATGATCTTTGTATATCTGTGGTATGAGTTGTAATGTCACTTTTATCATTTCTGATATGTACTCATTTGAATCTTCTTTTTTTCTTGGTTAACATAGAAATTTATCCTTTCTAAGAACAAACTTTTTGTTTCATTGATCTTTTATATCTTTTTTAATTTTCAGTCTCATTTAATTGTGCTCTGATCCTTGTTATTTCTTTTCTTCTGCTAGCTTTGGGTTTGAATTATTCTTGTTTTTCTAGTTCCTTGAGTTGCAACATTAGGCTGTTAATTTGAGATCTTTCTATCTTTCTGATGTAGGCATTTAATGCTATAAGCTTTTCTCTTATCACTGCTTTTGCTGTATCCCAGAGGTTTTGGTATGTTGTGTCTCTATTTTCATTCATTTCAAAAATGTTTTTTGATTTCTGTCTTACTTGTGTTGTTTACCCAAAAGTCATTCAGGAGCAGGTTACTTAGTTTTCTTGTACTTGAGTAGTTTTCAGAGTTCCTTTCTGGTATTCATTTCTAATTTTATTCCACCATGGTCCAAGAAAATAGTTGATATGATTTTTATTTTTTTGAATTTATTGAGATTTTCTTTATGGCCAAAAATATGCTCAATTTTGGAAAATGTACCATGCACAAATGAGCAAAATGTATATTCTGTTGTTGTTGGGGAGAATGTTCTGTAAATATCTATTAGATCCGTAGATATTTAGTATCTATGGGTCTGTGTACTGTTGTCAGTGGGGTGTTGAAGTCCCTACTTCTGTATTATTGAATTGCTTTCAGTCTGTTTTCTTAGGTCTAGTAGTATTTGGTTTGTAAACCTCGGTACTCCTACGTTGGGAATATATATATTTATAGTTAAATCTTGTTGCATTGAGTGCTGTATCATTATATAATGCCTTTCCTTGTCTTTTTTTTTAACTGTTGTTGGCTTAACATCTGTTTTGTTTGATATAAGAATGGCTACTGCTCTTCATTTTTTAATTTTTAAATTTCCATTTGTGTGATATATCTTTTTCTATCCCTTTGTATTTTTTAAAATGTTTAAATTGTTGTGGGTACATATTAGGTGTACATATTTATGGGTTTCATGAGATATTTTGATATAGGCATCCAATGCATAATAATCACATCAGAGTAAATGGGGTATCTATTGCTTCAAGCATTTATCCTTTGTGTTACAAACAATCCAATTATACTCTTTTAGTGATTTTTAAATGTACAATTAAAGTATTTTTGACTGTTGTCACCCGCTATGTTAGAAAATATTAGGTCTTATTCACACTTTCTAACAATTTTTTGTACCTATTAAATATGCCCGCTTTCCCCACTACCCTTTCCAGCCTCTGCTAACCATCCTTCTACTCTGTCTTCATGAGTTCAATTATTTTAATTTTTAGCTCTCACAAATAAGTGAGAACATGCAAAGTTTGTTTTTCTGTACCTGGCTTATTTCACTTAACATAATGACTTCCACTTCCATCTATACTGTTGCAAATGTCAGGATCTCATTCGTTTTTATGGCTGAATTGTATTCCATTGTGTATATGTACCACACTTTCTTTATCCATTCATCTCCTAATGGACACTTAGGTTGCTTCTAAATCTTGGCTATTGTGAATAGTGCTGCAATAAACATGGGAATGCAGATATCTGTTGGATATGCTGATTGTTTTTCCTTAGAGTATATACCTAGTTCTATTTTTAGTTTCTTGAGGAACCTCTACACCTTTCTCCACAGTGGAGAACCTTGACAGCAACAGTGTATGAGGGTTCCCTTTTCTCCATATCCATGCCAGCATTTGTAATTGCCTGATTTTTGGATAAAAGCCACTCTAACTGAGGTGAAAAAGTATCTCATCATAGTTTTGATTTGCATTTCTCTGATGATCAGTGATATTGAGTACCTTTAAATATAATTGTTTGCCATTTGTATGTCTTCATTTGAGAAATACCTATTCAGAATTTTTGTCCATTTTTCTTTTTTTCTTTTTTTTTGAGACGGAGTCTCGCTCTTTCACCCAGGCTGGAGTGCAGTGGCACTATCTCAGCTCACTGCAAGCTCCACCTCCCGGGTTCACACCATTCTCCTGCCTCAGCCTCCCAAGTAGCTGGGACTACAGGCGCCCGCCACCACGCCCGGCTAATTTTTTGTATTTTTAGTAGAGGCAAAGTTTCACCATGTTAGCCAGGATAGTCTCGATCTCCTGACCTCGTGATCTGCCCGCCTCGGCCTCCCAAAGTGCTGGGATTACAGGCGTGAGCCACTGTGCCTGTCCCCATTTTTAAATTATATTATTAGATTTCTTTTCCTATAGAGTTGTTTGAGCTCCTTATATATTCTGGTTATTAACCCTCTGTTACATGGGTAGTTTCCTTTATTTTGAATCTGTAGGTGTCTTTAGGCATTAGGTGAATCTCTTGAAGGCAGCAGATGGTTGGGTCTTGTTTTTGTTGGTGTTGATGTTGCTTTAGTTTTTTTAAATCCAATTTACCACTCCATCTTTTAAGTAGAGCATTTAGGTCATTTGTGTTCAAGGTTAATATTGATATGCAAGGTTTTATTCCTATAATAGTGTTGTTAGCTAGTTGCTTTGAAGTCTCAATTGTGTAATTGCTTTATAGGGTCTTCTATGAGCTTTGTACTTAACATGTCCTTTTATGACGATGAGTATTGTCCTTTCATTTCCATGTTTAGAACACCTTTGAGCATATCTTGTAGGTTCAGTGTAGTGGTGATGAATTCTCTTAGTGTTTGCTTGTCTGGAAATGACTTTATTTCCCTTTCATTTATGAAGCTTAGTCTGGCAGGGTATAAAACTCTTGACTGACAAAATTTTTTCTTTAAGGAGGCTAAAAATAGGTCTCAATGTCTTCTGGCTGAGATGTTTGCAGTCTGATGAGATTCCTTTTATAGGGGATTTGATGTTTCTCTCTAGCTGCTTTTAGAATTTGTTATTTTACATTGACCTTGCATAGCTTTATAACTATATGCCTTGATGATATTCATCTAGTATAGTAACATCCAGTTGTTTTCTCAGTTTATTGTATCTGAATTTCTGCATCTCTAGCAAGATCAAGGAAATTTTCCTGCATTATTCCTTCAAATATGTTTTCCACATTTCTTAGTTTTTCTTCTTCTCTCTCAGGAGTAACTATAATTCATAGGTTTGGTCACTTCACATAATTCCATATTTCTCCAAGGCTTTGTTTATTTTTTAAAACATATTTTCTCTTTACTTTTGTCTAACTGGGTTAATTTGAAAGACCAATCTTCGAGCTCTGAAATGATTTCTTCTGCTTGGTCTAGTCTACTCTTAAAGCTTTCAACTGTATTTTGAACTCATTTAAGTGGATTTTTCATTTCCAAACGTTCTGTTTGTTTTTGTTTTTAAGACATCTATCTCTTCCTTCATTTCCTGGGTTGCTTTTAGGGTTTCTGTGTGTTGGTTTTCAACCTTTTCTTTGATCTCATTGAATTTTCTTACAATCTATACTTTGAATTTTTATGTAATTTCCGAATTTTCATTTTGGTTAGGGTCCATTGCTAGAGAGCTAGTGTGATCCTTTGATGGTTTCACAGCATTCAGATTTTACATGGTACCAGAATTCTTATGCTGGATCCTTATCATCTAGGGAAGCTGACACTTCTTGCTTTTGAAGTTACTTTTGTTTGGATGGAACTTTAAAAATCTATCTTTATTTTATTTATTTCCCACCCCACCTTGAGGATGTGACTGTACAGTATGTTAGGTAGGGGCCTTTTGGCTTTGCTTCTATGGTCCTGTGCACTTCTGTTGGCAGGTTTTATATTGCATTGTGTGGTTTGACCTACCGGCCAGTAGGTGGCACTTCCGGGTAAGAGCCAGCAGCGCAAAAGCAGGTGAGTACGTACTTGACACTTGTTTACTGTGAGGTGCTCTCTGTTGTTTCATGTGATGGGCTGGGCAGCCCTGTTCGGGGTGAAGGGGGGACAAAGATGGGCAGATCTGGGCCACCTGGCTTGCCCATGAATACTCCAATGAAGAGCACAAGCACCAGACTTAAGGGGGTGACAGTGGGGGCTCCTGGTTAAATGCACTGAGATCTTTGCTGGGGTTGAAGAGGCTGCACCAGCTGCATGCCCTAGATCGGCAAGAACTTGATCTGTTTATCACACCCCTGTCCTGGGGGCTTGTGACTCTTAGTTCAGATCCACACCATTTGTCCATCTATCTCTAGGCCACAGTGCAGCTGAATGCCGTGGGAAATGCCTGACCCTCAGCTCTCAGTAGGAACGGTTTTGGGGTGGAACCTCTTTGTTCCACCCAATAAAGACGGCTTTGTGGCTAACCTGTTCGTCAATGCAGTAATGTTGCTACTTTGTGTAGAGAAGGGGAGGATACCTTTCAGGATGTGCGTGAGGCTGGGTATTAGCTGTGGTGGAGTTGGCTGGTTGGGTTGACCGGCCTCTAGCCCTGGGTGGAGTGGTCAGGTGTCAGTGGTGTAGAAATGGACTAGGTAATTCCCCAACTCCCATGTTCCTAACTTATGGAACACTTTCTTTTCCTTTTTTTTTTAGATAGAGTCTTACTCTGTCACCCAGGCTGGAGTGCAGTGGCGCGATCTCAGCTTACTGCAACCCCCGCCTCCTGGGTTCAAGCAATTATCCTGCCTCAGTCTCCTGAGTAGCTGGTACAGTTACACACCAACATGCCTGGCTAATTTTTGTATTTTTAGTAGAGACAAGGTTTCACCATGTTGGCCAGGCTAGTTTTGAACTCCTGACCTCAAGTGATCCTGCTGTCTCGGCCTCCCAAAGTGCTGGGATTACAGGCGTGAGCCACCATGCCCGACCTTATGGGGCACTTTCTGTGTGCCTAGTTGCACCAGCCTTGTTTTCATTCCCACTGTGACTCTGAGGTAGGTATTATGATCCCCATTTGGTCAATGAGAGGAAGGAATAAAGGACACTGATGAGTTCTATGTGTTGTCGTCCTGGAAGAGAGAGGGTGTGGATGAATGAAACAGAAGTTAAACTCACCTAGGGGAGAGATATTTTCTGTTGGAAAGTAGTAGATATCACCCTCAAACATAAAAGCTATTCGTGAGGGTAATTTTCTGAGGTGAGTTTAGTTAAATTACTTACAGATATTTAACCATATGAGTGAATTAAAAATTTTCATCATATTTACTTAATTTAGTACTTTTTATTGAAAGCTGTTGGCGTTGGTCTTCTATCAGCAGAGAAAACATTATTGAGTTGTTATTTAAAGTGTTAATCTGATGGTTCTTTAATTTTTCACCTTTCTACTAAAAAATCTGATTTGATGCTGAGCAAATGCCTGCTCTTTTGTTTTAATTCTGAAAACAGAGTTTAAATAATTACTTTCTAGGCTCTTTATAGTTCATCATTTTTCTTTTGTCATTTAGTTTATAATTATATTTAAATGCTCTTTGCTTTAGTTAAAATTATTTTTACTGTTCGATGCTCATTTTTTAAAATGAGTTTTTAAAAGTATTTTGGGTTTTCTTGGGCTTTGCTTTAATTGACATAATTTTCCAGTTCTACCATTTTCTGAAGCTTTTAAAATCGTTCTTTCTTCTAAAATTCTCACTTTCATTTTTGCTAGTGTTTGACCTACTCTGCTCTTCATTTTTAGAATATACAATTACTTTATTAGAAAAAATTTATGGCTGTGTATTGTGACACTTACTTTTCTTTAAACTAACATGCACTCCATAAATTTTATGTTTAAGCATACAAATCTAGGTAACTGTTTTATTTTGCCTTTTTATTGCTATTATTTCCTCAAATACTTTGATGCCAAGAAAATTGGTGAAAATATATAGAGGAATAGCACTTGGAGACCTTGATTTTTCAAGAACTTTAAAGTTTGGTATAAATGTAGAAAAATAGTGTATAAGCAAAATAACATGGTGCTGTGATGGACATTGCAATTTTTTAAAATTTTATATTATTGCTTATTCTCTAGGATGTTTAAAAGTACAAGAAACCTTTATGATATTCAATTTTTAGAAAAAAATCTTTACTTCTATTTAGATTTTTATTCCTTTTGAAAGCTATTTCTAGCACATATGATGAACTTGATTTTTATTCACTTTTATTTTTCTTAAAAATTGTATTTGTTTTTACCTGTGTGAAATACACACACACACACACACACACACACTTCTATGGAAATCATGTTATTAGTCAGTCAAGTTCTCATATTCTTTATTCCAGCTAAACTTTCAACTACCTATAAATCTCATGCTTTATATTCAAAGTTAAGTTAACCAATTATTTAAACATGTAATTCTCAACAGATCAAAGATTTCACCTTTGATTGGCAGCCAGTCTAAAGCTCTACCTTACATTTGATTCTTTTAAGCCTCCAGGGAGGATATTTGATCCTTTTCTAAGTCCTCTGCTCTTTTTTGCCCTCATGCCACTCATCTCCTTGTAAAATCCTGCATTTCATTATTAGCTTTACACAGACCCACAAATGGCTGTTTTCTCTTATTAAGTTTCCCCGGGCTCTTCAGCCAAAGTGGAGTTCTATTTTATAGAAGTGCATTTCAACTCCTACTATTACTATTGCCTTTCACTCATTGCTTCAATTTCCTCTTCACTAGATTTCCTTTGAATTTCCTTTAATTTGGCCTCTTAACTCATGAATTCGCCAAAGCTATACTTCCAAATGTCACTAATAATCATTTCTTGTTAAAATCCCAGAGCTTTTACTCTGTTCTTGTCTTTCTTTCACTCTTGATTGCTTTAGATATGTTTAAAAGTCTCTCTTCATTTGCTATATACATCTTTCAGTTCCAGGACCCTAGAGAATGGTAGATATTTGATGCCATCTCTTTGAGATACATCTGTTAAAGAAAACCATATATATTATTTGGTCTCTTAGGGCAAATTGTGGATATTTCAAGGTATAGCTATTTCCAGGATTGGAAATGTAAAGGATAATTGTAATTACCTTCATATTCCTAATGTTCTATGCCTTCTTTATTTTGCATTTTCGTATAGCCTATTGAACATATCCACTAGGATAACCCATAGTCGTCTTAAAGCAAACCAGAATTTACCAACTCCTTCCTATTTCTAAGCCACTTGTCTTACTTGTATATGTGTGTTTCTTGAAGAAATCTTCATGATTAAGGAGATACTATAAATTGTCTGTTTCATCATAATAAGCAAAGTCCGATAGAGTAGTCACTAGTAATGTGTGGCTGCTGAACACTTGAAATGTAACTGGTTACATTTGTTTCTTTTTTATTTCTAAGGTTGGCCACTTAAAAATTTAAAATTACATATGTGGCTCACATTTTATTTGTATTGGACATTGTTGGTATAGGTTATGCCACAGTCATAATCACAAAACCTTAGTGACTCACAAGTACAAATACTTATTCTCCCTGATACTCCATGTTTATTGCAGGTTGGCTGAAAGTTCTGCTCGATATCTCCTTACTCCTGAAACCAAGTTGATGGAGCAACCATATTCTAAAGACTGCCAACAGTGGGATAGAGGGAAAGAGAACTCTAGGGATCTTGCATTAAAAATGAAATGCTGTGGCCTCCAGCTGATTAATTTTGCATGCGTATTCTTGATTCACTGACCAGAATAAGTCCCATGGTCCTTTCCTGTAGTTACTTAGAAATGCTATTTTGGCAATCATACCATTATTTATTCTAGCATAATGGTAATTATTAGATTTAATCTTTAGAACAACCTTACATTATTTTCAGTTTCTGATTAGAGCTTAGTTATTATTGGATAACTCACACAAAACTGTTATACTTCAATTAAATCTGTATTAGAAAATTTAAAAAAGCAAACATTGGAAGGTGTTTACTTATCCCCTTTACTTACAGATTGTTTTCTTCATAATTTTTCTCAAAGAATTTTTAATTCTTCAGAATTCTACAGAGATGCATGCCCAGTTTAACAGAGATTTCATAGCAATTAACACTGTTATAAGCTGTAATGACTGGAAAAACACAGAAAATAATTGAGTTATTTATTACCCCATGAGTATGCAGGCAACTCCCCATTCTCTGAGATGTGGCAGGTCTTAGGATCACTTGGTTCTTCTGGAAAATAAAGCCCGTAATCTTATTTATGGAAGTTCTCCCATGGCTCTCTCAGAGAAAGGTTGTGAAATCCTGTATGACAGACCCACTCTCCATGAAAATGAATGACCAAACGACATGTTTGACACAATCATCAAAAAATATCCTTAAGATACAATTACGTATAGAAGCAAGGTTGATCATGTAGAAAGGTCTTGGGGCCGGGCTCGGTGGCACGTGCCTATAATCCCAGCACTTTGGGAGGTCGAGGCAGGCAGCTCTCGAGCTCAGAAGTTCAAGATCAGCCTGGCCAACATGGCAAAACCCAGTCTCTACTAAAAACACAAAAATTAACCAGACCTCGTGATGCGCGCCTATAGTCTCAGCTGCTTGGGAGGATGAGGTGAGAAGATTGCTTGAGCCTAGGAGGTGGAGGCTGCAGTGAGCCGTGATCGTGCCACTGCACTCCAGCATGGGTCACACAATGAGACTCTGACTCAAAAAAAGAAAAGAAAGGCTTTGGAACATGGGCTTTTTAGCCAGAAAACATCTTCATGGCACCATTTGCTAAGTGACTTTAATTAAAGTACTTAAGCTTATTCAGTCTTATTCCTGATCAGGAAAATGGGGATAATGCTTACCTTGTAGGTTTATTATGTGTCTAACAGTCTTCTGGCACATATTAATTCCACAGCTATTTTAAAAGAACTATAATGTAATTTCATATCCTAATTGGTGGCCACATAAACAACATATTACTTTTCAGATAGATTCTTTTGCAAATAAGTGTCCTCATTAATTTCTTAATAGTGTTTTCACTTTATCTTGAAATTATAAATCATGTTCAATTTGCCCTTCTACTCGGATTCTTGATGTACCTTTACTATATATTATCAAATTCATTAGGTTGCCCTTCATTCAAATCACTGGGGGCTTTTCTTCAAACTGGCCCCAGCTGGGTCTCTGTCTTCAATCATTTCTTTCTGTCTCTCTTCCCCCCATGGCACTTTGCTTATGCCGGTTTCATGGCAATTATTACATATGCCCTTAAACTATACTCTTGTATACAAGAATTATTGCTCTCTAAATCTTATGCTTTCTAGGGCAGGAGCTATAATAGTAAGAATCAACTAAAATGAATGGCAAACCTATTCCCTACTAAGTTTTCTAATTTCTTTATCTCAATTTAAATGTCTAAAGGACATAAAGAAGTGGGAAATTAAGGCCAAGACAGTAATTACCCAAGGCCACACCAATACAAAGTGGCAGAGCCAGGATTCAAATCCAAGTTGGCTTCTACCTAAAACTTAACTTTTAAATCAGTTTCCACATTTCCTTTCCTCACACCTGCCCAACTCTGGTGGAGCTCCCCACCCCCTGCAACATTCAACATAAAGCCTTGATTCATGCTTTTAATTGATTAATAAATAAATTCAAATTTCCTTAACTATCATTACTTTTATTAGTAAGCAGCTGTTATGTTCTTTGCAAACACTGAAGGGAACAAAAGCACTAATAACTTACAGAGAATAATACCACTCTCCCCCAATCACAGGGCATGCTGAGAGTGCCCGTTTCAAAAACACATACAATTTAACAGAATGAAAACGGATAGATTAAAAATATAGAGTAAAGGGAAATAAGAGTAGAAAAAAACAGATATTTCAGGCATATGGTTAGTCCACAAGGATACAAATCAGAAGACAGTGAGTTGGAACAGACTTCAAATTTGGTGCTGACCTTCTTTACATCAAAGTAAAGTGGAAAGACAATGAGCTATGAAATATAGTGTTCCTAATATGGAAAAAACTGTTTGCTCAAGGAAATTTGTTAACATATGAAGGCACTTTTGATGTTGTGAAAAATATCCTGCATTAAATACAACATTCCTTTTTGCATGGCTACGTGATAAGTTTTGCTTTGTGATGCAGCAGTGTAGCAGAACTCACTTATTAAGTAGCGTGCATTCTGTCTCTCAGCCAAACACCCACATTATTCCCTACTATATTCAGATATCAGATCATAAGTGACAGGACTATAGACAGTGCTCTGAGCCTTAGTAATATGTAAAAAAGAGGAAAAAATGCAAGGAGAATTGTATCTAGGCTGCTCAGATTATCAGACACCACATCTAGAGTGAGAGGATCAAACTAGTATAAACAGTGACCATAAGATGTTGACTCACTTTTGATGAACAAGACCCACTTTTAATAATGGATTTATACATTTTTAATAGTTGGCTTACATTTCATTATCGTTTATTCAGTACCATTGCAAGCCTTTGGTTTTCTGTTGTCAAAATAAGTAGGAAAAACAGAAGATCAAATGGTCATAGTATTTTTTGCTTCGAAATAAGGCACATGATTTAAATACAGGCAAGGGCATGCACAGATGAATTTTGATAGAACTGAGAAAACATTCACTGTCATCAAGTCAGGTCTCACTGTCTGAGACATATTAACTCGTTTGCAGTCATGTGATAAAACAAGAGAAACCTCAGTCTCAGAAGTTTTACACAGCAAAGCACAGCATCAGGGAGTGGTCCCCTGTGAGGTTAGAAAGTATAAACCAAGTTGCCTCTTGGATTGTGCTTTTTGGGTGGGTGGGAGCCTTAGGAAACTTGACTGGCTTAGGGAATCCTTTTCTGATGATTCCTGTCTTCCCCTTCTGGTATCTGTGAGGATGGGAAGCTGACAATTGATCCAGCAGATGTCTCACCAGCTACTGAGTTCTTCCAAGAGGTGATCAGGCATAACTCTTAGGTTCTGCTACCTCTTAATCACAGTCTATTCTGGAGATGGTTAATCTTCCTTGCTAATGAGGATTTAATTCTATTTTAATTGTGATGTTCCGTTTTCTTTGACTTATTCCCAGCTCCCAGCTTCCATTTCCTTACCTTTGTTCACTGAGAGTTAATTGCTCATCAATACCTGGGGGAAAAAAAGTAAATAATCTTTTCAGTTTTGATGAGTAAATAGTAAGATATTAAGGCAGTATTCTCAGTTGTGTTTAAGGACTATCTAAATTGGAGTATCTTCATGTACTTGTTAACATGCCAACATGGCCTCTACTCCAAACTCACTGAAGTTGGAGAACCAATACCTTACATTAACTAGCATAGCAAAAATGTAATTCCTACTTTATCTTAATGGTTTTAATTACTTAATGATTTACTCTGTATAAAAATGTTGAATAATAGCTAGCTGTCTTTTCATGATGTATTAGTCAGGACTCTCCAGATAATCAAAGCCAAGAGTAGGGGATATGTGTGTGCACGAGTGTGCGTGTGTGTGTGTGTGCGTAGGGAGAGATAAATTTATTATAAGTAATTGGCTCACATGATTATAGAGGCTGACATGTCCTAACATCTGAAGCCAGCAAGTTAGAGACTCAGGAGAACTGTTGTTATAATCTGAGTCCAAAGGCCTGAGAAACGAGAGCCAATGGTGTAATTTCCAGTCTGAGTCTGAGTCCAAAAGCAACAGAAGACCAATGTCCTAGTTTGAAGGCAGGCAAAAAGAGTGACTTCTCCCTTACTCAACATTTGTTCTCTTCGGGCCTACAGTGGATTGGATGAGACCCACATACATTGGAGAAGGTAATCTGTGTTACTGAGTCCACCAGTTCACTGTTAATCTCGCCCAGAAACACTCTCAAAGACACACACAAAAGAATGTCTGGGCACCTCATGGCTCAGTCAGGTTGACAAATAAAATTAATGATCACAAATCCACGTGTTGTCAACTTGACATCCATATGTATCTCCTTAAGTCACACTTAATCTCCAAATAAAAACAATAACTAGGTTATAATTCCAACTATTATACAAGTCTCCTGCACACAAACAGAGAATACGCTAATTCCTTCCATAGACAAGGAGGTAAAGTCCTCGAGTAATGTTAACTTTTCTCCTTGACATTCCATAACTTAAATACTGTGATATAAAGTCAGTACATCTTACGTTACATGACAAGAAGGGAAGAAAAAAAGGTATTTGCTTAGTGTGTGTGTGTGTGTGTGTGTGTTTGTGTGTGTGTAAATATATTTATAATAAAATAAAGAAGAACTACTCATAACAATTACAACCCTAGTTTCTGTAACTGGTTATATAGTTGTAGCTGGTATTTATGGCTACTTTCTTCTACTATGCATTCTGTATTCCCTTTGCCTTCAGCAAGCACCTCAGCTAGCTGTGGTTCTTTACTGGTGGAGTGACTCAAACTTTCATTCCTGAAGGGTCTGGACTATTTGTAGTGCTGCTTGGATTGAGTTGGTGTACTCTTTCATTGACTTTATGCACAGGACATAGTGATATCAAGAGATGCCCTAAAGGATCTCCTATGTTCCAGACATCCTCTTTCTTACCTCCATTGTGGAGTTGCACTCCAGTTTTCCTTTGGTAGCCAGGATCAGTCAGCACAACTAGCACAGTAACTCCCTTCTTTGTCTGTTGATTCAAAGGCATAAAGAGTTCAAAGTGGCTGTGTGGCAGTATTAGCTTCCAGGTCAATGGAATAATTGTTGTGTCACCTAGGGGAAGCATTTCTTTCCCTGAAACTAAGACTTCTAGGCCAGCAAAGGATAAAGCTGTGGAAATAGGAAGCAAAAATGTTGTAAGTGGTGTAATAGTGACTGGTACTACTTCTGTTTCCACCCTTGATTCCCAGACCCGTGAATCCTGGGAGAAACAGCACCATATATTGGATGCTGATTCAGACCGCATACAGCCTTCTGGAGAACCTTGCCCCATCCCTGCAAGGTATTGCCAGCTAGCTGTCACTGTAACGAAATCTTTAGAAGACCATTCCACCATTCTCTGAAACCAGCTGCTTCAGGGTGGTGGGAAACATATAAAACTAGTGAATTCCTTGAGCATGGGCTCACTGCTGCACTTCTTTTGCTGTGAAGTGAGTTCCTTGAGCAGGGACAATGCTGTATGGAATATCATAACAGTGAATAAGGCATTGTGTAAGTCATTGGATGATAGCTTTGGTAGAAACGTTATGCGCAGAGAAGGCAAATCTAAATCCAGGGTAAATGTATATTTCAATAAGGACAAAATGCTGCCTCTTCCATAATGAAAGCAGTGTAATACATTTAACCTACCACTAGGTAACTGGCTGGTCACTGGAGGAAGTGGTGTCATGTCAGGGACTCATAGCTGGTCTCCGCTGCTGGGAGATTAGGCTATCAGTGATGGCTCTAGCCAGTTGGCCTTTGTGAGTAGAAGTCCATATGTGAAGCCCATGCCTAACCTTCAACCCTAGGTAATTGCGGAAAGAAGCCGTCTGGAATCCACAGAATATGTCATGCTATTCAGTAATTATTAAAATATTCCTCTGCTAGGGTCACCCTTTGGTGAACATTTACATGGAGCAAATATCTTCATGGTTTTTTTTTTTTTGCTCATTCAGAAAATCCTATCCACACACATCTTCCCCAAATTTCCTTGTCACCAATTTTCCAATCATGTTTCTTCCAAGTCCCTAACCATCTGGACAAACCATCAGCCACAGCCCCTGAGTTAGTATATAATCATACATCTGACCATACCTCCTTACAAGAAAAGTGAACATCAGATGAACTGTCTGAAGTTCTGCCCACTGGGAGGATTTCCTTCACTGCTGTCTTTCAAGGGTGTCCCACAGAGGTCCTGTGGTGCTACATTTGTCCACTTTCGGGTGGTGCCTGCTTATTGTGCAGACCATCTGTAAATCATACCTAGCTCTTTTCTTCCTCTGTCATCTGATAGTAGGAAAGTCTCCATTAGGCCATAGGTGCTGGTGGGGAGAAAGAAGGCAGTGTAGCAAGAGTGGGGATATGTACATTTGGGTCACCTCTTTATGCAACTCACTTGTGCTTTCAGGATCTGTTTGGGCTCCATCATATATATGTGTATATATATAAAAAACATATATATGTTATATATTATATATGTTATATATAACATATATATGTACATGTATATACATACATGTACATATGTATATACGCATATGCATGTATATGTATGTATATGTATATGTATGTACATGTATATGTATATATACATATGTATATATAAAATATATACATAATATATATAACATATATGTTATGTTATATATGTTATATAATATATGTATGTTATATATTATATATTTATATATACACATATATACATATATAACATATGTGTATATATGCACATATATAACATACATATATGTACATATGCACATATATACATATATGTACATATGCACATATATACATATATGTACATATATAACATATACATGTACATATATAACACATATATATGTACATATATACATATATATACATATATACATATGTTATATATGTATATATGTTATATATATTATATGTTATGTATGTGTTATATATATCTTATATATATGTTATATATATGTTATAAATGTATATATAACATACGTGTGTGTGTGTGTGTGTGTATATATATCTTAGTGATAGAGTGCTGTTGAGTAGGGCAACTTTATAATGGTTTACTGGGTTAGATAAGACCCAGTTTATGATGGGCAGCTCAGACCACTTGGTAATTTGGTGGCTTCTGGTTAAGTGTTCAGTTTCTACGAAGGCCCAGTAGCAGGCCCAGAGCTGTTTCTCAGAAGAAGGGTAGTCATCTGCAGAGGATGGCAGGGCTTTACTCCCAAACCCTAAAGGCCTGTGCTGAGATTCCCTTATAGGGACCATTCAGAGGCTCCAACCAGCATCCCTGTCTGCCACTGCCACTTCAAGCACTGTTGAATATGCTAGGTCATATGGTTCATGTGGCAGAGCAGCTTGCACAGCTGCCTGGATCTGCTACAGAGCCTTCTCTTTTGCTGGGCCCCACTCAAAACTAGCAGCTTTTCACATCACTCAGTAAATGGGCCAGAGTAACACATCCAAATGAGGAATATGTTGACTCCAAAATCCAAAGAGGCCCACTATGTGTTTTGCCTCTTTTGTGGTCATAGGAGGGGCCAGATGCAACAACTTAGCCTTCAGAAAAAGAAGGTTGTGCATTATGCATTGGCTCTTAAACCCTCCACCTGGAAGTGACACATGTCATTTTCAGTAACAAGTCTTTGGCAGTGGCTCCTTTCATGGGTCCATGAAATCTTAAGCAGGGCCAGGAAGTGCAGCCCTGCCATGTTCTCAGGGGTCAGAGAACAGGGAATGTTTGGTGAACAGAGCTAATGACTGACTGCAAGTTCTATTGAAAAGCAAGTGTTCTTGTTGTCAAACTCCTCCCTCCTCTTAGACACTATTCCCTAGTGACAACTACTCCTGCTTCTGTGTTTAGCTCCTTTGGTGCATATTTTAATATGACACGTTGACACATTTTTTTCTAAATCAACTTATATATTATGTATCTATTCCTGCTATATCACTGAAGGGTTTAGTTCATTCACACCATCAACCTTTTCTCTGCTCTTGGCACCCAACCCTTTCTCCCACAATCACAGTTTCTTAAGAAGTTAATTGAAGATGTACTTGGGTAAAAAAACAGGATGTATCAAGGATGATAAATACACAAGCACAGTGACGTGCCATCCCACTATGATAGCTGTACTGCTGACCTAGAGGTCAGTGGACAGAACACTCTAGGAAACAGTATATAGGGAATCTATAAGATATAAACAATGTTTTACAGCTTGTACACAATAAAGAACATTATAAAGGCATTTATAGAGTGCTAAAAAGGAGAATTCATTCTAAATTGACACTAAAAGTATTTTCCTTATAGAGGCATGGGGCTACAAAGTATATGGGGGATGAAATATAATCCTAGTGTATGACTCAGGGTTGCAACAAATTATATTTGTGTCATTATTGTAATAATAACATTTATTAGATTTGAAAGTTTGGAACTAATCCATGTAAACATAAAGGTATATTTAAGGCTTTGTGACTTGGGTGGTGCAAAAAAGAAGGTGAAGAGAGAGGGTAGGAACATTAATATCATTTCTTATTCTATAAAATGGGGATTCAGTGCATATTGTCTATGATTCATGAAATTCAAAATGAAGGTTTAGCTATGCTGTTTGAAATTGTAAAGGTATCAGTTGATGAAATGAAGACAGTGATATAATTATTTGTAGGTAGGGGGATTAACTTAGTAAGAAAGGAAACAGAAGTGGTAAACTTTCTGATTCTTTGCCTATCTAAAAATGTCTTTATTCAGTCCTCATACTCAACTGATAGTTTCACTTTACATAGAAATTATTTTTGTAGTGCATTACTTCAAAAGTTTTGTCTTATTTGTTTTTATACATCTAATGTTGCTGGCATCTGGTTTGATTCCTGTTTACTTCATCGGTGACCTATTTGTTTCTCTTTAAAAATATTTGTGATGTCACCTTTGAGCTTGATGTTAATTTTTACAAGGTGTACGTAGATGTGGATTTTGTTCATTCTTTTTGCTGGGCATTTGATGGACCCTATCAACCAAAAAGTTAAATCCCTTACTTAGGGAAATTATCTTCTAATATTTATTTGATAATTTTCTACTACATCCATCCCTCCCCTTATTCTCTCATACTTAAACTGTGATTTATGAGTTACTGGGACCTCTCTGTTTGATCCCCTGCATTAAATGTTTTCCCTTATTTACTTTGTATTTTTAATATAATTGGTTTATTTTAAAATTATTTTATAAAATTTTAGCTTTATTTCTTCTATTGAATTTTGATTTTGAAAAAATTCATTTCCCCTTTCTAAGAGCCCTGTCTTATTCTTGTATGGCTCCATTTTTGTTGAATCCTCTTTTTGTTTTATGTATGCAGACTCTGCAGATCTTCTCTAAATATACAAGGGGAGACTTTTAAAAAGTTTTATTCTGTTCTTTAAAGGGTGTTTTCATCTCTTTGGAAGTTAACTTTTTTATTTGCCTAGTTTAGGCTTCCTCCCCCTCATTCCCATTGCTTGATTTCCTCAAATATTCACTAATCATTGCTCACCTTTTATGGTTAGAAGTGAGGTAAATAAACATTTCCTAGAAGCGCTGTAGATATAGACAGATTTGATTATTAGTCTCTTTATGGTAAACAGGCAAGAAGCTAACCCTTATATTGGGGGACTGATAATGTGAGATGTTTAAGTTTTCTTCTTATATTTTATTTAGGAAAGAAACTTCTGTTTTTTGTTTTGTTTTGTTTCTTTTAACCTAGTATAAGTGGTGTGCGGGGTATTTTACAGTATGAGGACTTCTCTTTAGAGGCTTTCATTCTAACCCCTGTCTCATCTCCCAACTCTGGTATTGTTTATATACAGTTGTCTTTTATATTTAAAGAAGATTTTGCTATAGTTGACATTTATACTCTAAAGTGATTGAAAATACGTGCCACATGTCTATTGTCTTTTCAATTCTCAGTAACTATAGAACGTATCCTTTTATCTAAATAGTTGTAGCTGATGTGACTGATGTCTAGAGTTCTGAGTATTTCCTCTTACTTTCCTACCCCATCATGTCCAGGTTCCATGTCTTCAACTTTTATTTCACAGTAGGTGGTGTAGCAGAATGTATTGAAGAAAACTCAGTGTTTACTTACAGCATTTTATCTAGCTCTTTTGTTACCCTGCCTTTGCACAACTCAGATGAGGATATGATGTAGCTTAATTCTGTTTGATTTCAGGACCATATTATTGAATTTTTTCTTGTATGCTATAATGTAAGAAAACTATGTTTTTGAACCAGAAATCTTCCTACAGAAATGTTGCTTTTATAGCTTCCAGCTAATTTCACAACATATGTTCTGATTTTCTACTTTTGTCTATTAGCATAGCACTTAACAGTGTTCTGTAAAAATAGCAAAAATGGATGTATTGCTAATGAATCTATCACTTGGATGTCGGGCTTCCCTAACATAACTTAGTAAAGAACTTTTAGCTTTTTCAAGATAATCTTTCATTCCCAGCATTATTCTGCCTTTTTAAAGCAGTACATAAACTCCTGATGTATACTTATGAGGATATACACTGGGGTAAAACAGTTCTTGAGTAATTGTCTTGAGGATTTTTGATGATTCCGACAGTGTCCACTGAGTGAAAAGTTTATCAGAAGATAGCAAGCGTATTCTAATATTGTGTTCTGAAACACGACTAAAAGAGCTTGAATAAAGCCAGATATTATAAGTGAAATTCTTGTAACAGTAACCAAAGAACCTTGGATTTTTAAAAATAAAACTTCTATAGGATTGATAATGATTCTTTTATTTATATGTGCAATTTAAATTGTTTATTGAACTCTAAATCTGTGCTAGTCAGTATAGTAGAAGATAGAAATAAAATGGCATAGAAACAGACACAATCTTTGCACTCATGAAGCTTAGAGACAAGTACAGAGAGAATTGTAATACAGGATAAGTTCAACAAAATGTTATTTGTTATGAAACATAGGTGAATGACAGTAAACCAAGGTTTGAGTGCAGTGATAGAAGTCAGGGAAGACTTCTTAGTGGGAATAATATCTTAGATGAAATCTAAGTGATATATAGAAGCCAGGCATCTAAGAGGTTAAAGATGAATGTTTCAGAGAAAACTCCTATGGAAAATTCTGAAGTATGGATAGAAATGTGGTATAATTGAGGAACAGAATGTTCTGAGTGCTTGGAGTATTATGTTGAATTGCGGGTAATAGTGGAATAAGGTGGTAAGGCATAATAGCATGCCAAGTCATCATAAAGACATTGCCTTCTTCCAAAAAGAAAAAGAAAAAAAAGGAAGCCCTTATTTAATTTTAAGTAGTAAAGTACCAAGATTATATTACGTGTGTGTGTGTGTGTGTGTGTGTGTGTGTGTGAATTACTCTGGCTGCTGTGTGGAGAATGGTTTATAGAGAGCAGCAGAGAAAGCAGAAAGAAGACTATGCATTTATTTCAGACATAAGGATGTGGCAATCATGACAGAGAAAAGTAGATGTCATAAAATAGGTAGGTTCTAGTAATTGATTGGCTATCATGAATGGGGAAAAGGACTCAATAAGCACCCTAATTCTAGCTTGGGCAACTATGTAGCCGTATAGTGGCTACCAGTTCCATTCCCTGAAAATGAGACTACAAGGAAAGGATTTAATTTGAAAAAAATCCCTTGAGACAAGTTTGAGATACATTGAGTTTGAATGATCTGTGGGATATCCAAATAGAAATGAAAAGAAAGACCATTATAAGAAAGACCAGGAAAAAAATAAGTTAAAAAAAGATTTGGCCTAGATATACAGATTTGGAATTTTCAGTACATAGGTGGCAAATTAAATCACAGAGTTCATGTTATAATCAAGAAAGAGACTATAGGATGAAAAGGAAAAGGGCGCAGAAGAGAAAACTAAGGAACCTCAACATTAAAGACATGGGAGACCAAGAAGTCCCTAGAATTAGAAAGAACGGGAGGGAGAGGTATCACAAAAACCAGGAAGAGAAATTGTTGCAAGAGGTAGGGTGTAAATAACCAAAAATTTGAAATGATACTGATGGATCAATATATGATAAAAGATAAAAGTTGTCTATTATATTTAACTATAAGGAGGTCATTGATAACTCTGCAAAGTTTTGTGTGTGTGTGTGTGTGGTTGTTTTTTTTGTTTGTTTTGTTTTGTTTTGTTTGAGATGGAGTTTCACTCTTGTCGCCCAGGCTGGAGTGTAAAGTCGCAATTTCGGCTCACTGCAACCTCTGCCTCCCAGATTCAAGTGATTCTCCTGCCTCAACCTCCCAAGTAGCTGGGATTACAGGCATGTGCCACCACACCCGGCTAATTTTGTATTTCTAGTAGAGATGGGGTTTCACCGTGTTGGTCAGGGTGGTCTCAAACCGCTGACCTCAGGTGATCCACCCACCTAGACCTCCCAAAGTGCTGGGATTACAGGCATGAACCACCATGCCTGGCCCTCGGTAAAGTTTTTATTATCAAAGATGAATTGAAGCCAGAAAGGCAGAAATAGAAAAAAATGTACATTTCAGAAAACTTACAACTTTAACAAAGTATGTGGAAATACACTTTCTTTAAAGCTTTGTCAGGAGAGAATGTAGATTATGCTAGGTTGATAAACAGATTGGTTTTTTTAAAAATCTGAGGGTAATGGCCCCACCATCCATCCCATTACTGGCTATATACCCAAAGTATTATAAATCATTCTAATATAAAGACACTTGCACATGTATGTTTATTGCAGCACTGTTCACAATAGCAAAGACTTGGGAACCAACACAAATGCCCATCAATGATAGACTGGATAAAGAAAATGTGGCACATATACACCGTGGAATACTATGCAACCATAAAAAAGGAGGAGTTCATGTTCTTTGCAGGGATATGGATGAAGCTGGAAACCACCATTCTCAGCAAACTAACACAGGAACGGAAAACCAAACACCACATGTTTTCACTCATAAGTGGGAGTTGAACAATGAGAACACATGGACACAGGGAGGGGAACATCACACACTGGGGCCTGTCAGGGGGTGGGGGGCTAGGGAAGGGATAGCATTAGGAGAAATACCTAATGTAGATGATGGGTTGATAGGTGCAGCAAACCACCATGGCACGTGTATACCTATGTAACAAACCTCCACGTTCTGCTCATGTATCCCAGAACTTAAAGTATATTTTTAAAAAATTCAAATGGTATTGATCAAAGATATGAAGCCCTGATGGAAAGGAGTTCAAATATATACAATGTAACAAATATGTCAGCATAACACTGATAGGCTGGAGGTATCATTATGGTTGGATTTATGCAGACATTTAGAAATACACCACTGCATTCTATTTTGTGAAATAGTGAAACCCCTGGCACTTGGGATTTTCTGAATCAGCACTAATTTTTGTATCACATATGATAGGTATGTATATTTTTCCCGTACCGTGAACCATCTATATAATCACTTTAATTGTCATGTTTTGTCTGTTGAGGTCCCTGATGTACATCCAATCCCTAAAATACTGTCTGGAATGTGTGAGATGGGCAATATATATTTGTTAAGTGAACAAAAGTTTATTAGAGAAGTGCTGTTAAATAAAAATATATTGGTTAAATGAAGAAAATCTGAGGCGTTCTCATAGGAGTAACAAAAAAGAAAAATGCACATAAATTATATTCCACTAGATCTGAGGTTTCTGAATTTTTCCAGGCTATAGTTCTAATATTCCGCTATATTTCCTCTGTCTGTTATGTATAGGTATGATAAGCCTTGGCAGCTGGGCTGCGCTATTAAATTCATGGATTATTGTTCAACTGATAATGAAATGATAACAACTGTCAAGAATCATTCCTTTACACAGGCTTTTACTTATACACATAAAGTTGAGCAGTGTCCACCAATGTTCTATATCTTGGATGAAGAAGAAAATGATTAAATATCTTATATTCTTGATTATAATGAGAAATACTATTTCCTTGCAAATATTATTTATAACTTAGAAAGTAATATGTGCATATGCATAAAAAAGCAATGAGTACAAAATTAAACAGTATAAAATAATAATGTGCCCTCTTATTATAAGTCCCTTGCTTACTCCCTGGAGGAACCCATTTTTTCAGAACATTCCCATGTTTCTATAAGTAAGATGTTCATTTTGGAGATACTCCACTTTGGCATACTTGTTAATTAAACTTGGGACTCGAAAGACTTGCATTATTTAAATTATTCTTGGGTAAAATTGCTATTTTTTTTCTCATGACTACTTCAGCGAATATTAGTCTGAATCTCTCCAAATCTTGTTTTCTTACTACAGACCACCATCAACTGTCATTTGAGTTCTCTATCATTATGAACTACAGTCTTGTAAATCTTTCATTCACTCAACAGGATTATAGCGCATACTCTGAAAGAAGTACTTCATCCTAATTAGTTCCACAGGTGCCTTTCCTTTAAAAAGGAAATAGTTTCCACACTGTCTCCAGAAGAATGTTATCGGGTCATTATGCCTTTGATAAATGAATGTGCTGCGGAGCCTGGGTTTCCCTGAAGGGTCTCTGCAACGCACAAAAATGCTGTGTTATAACTTTTGATCCATGATTGCCCTAATTTTCTCAATTTATCCAATATTATATCCAGATATGCAGTCCCAGATCTCCAATGAACCACACTGATGCTTCTTTGTTGATCTTATATACTTATTTTTCCTCAGGTTGCTACTAAACATAAGTTCTTCTCTTCATACTAGGTATTATGTGTCAGCTTTTAGCGAATTAGATTGTTTATTGCATTGGGATGAGAATAAAGTACTTACAGACAATGGATTAGTGGTTTGAATTCTTCCCAGGCTATCAGCAATCAGAAGTTGTTAGTACTCTCTTGGGGTCTATATAAAATGAAGGTGGTCTGATTACAATTCTGGGCCAGCAGGAAGGAGTACAATTTCTATTACAGGGGGGTAGGAACGGAAGTCTTGGTAAGGAGGCCAGATGTCTCCTTCTAATGGCTTATAAGAACAAAACCTGAACATGTTTTAATTTTTTTTTTCCTCAAAGCACTATCTCGGGAGTAGTGCTAAGGTATTTCATTCCCTCCCCACAATCATTTTCTCCCACTATAATAACTTATTCGTTAATTTACTTACGCATTTACTTCTTTCTCTAACACTCAAAAGTTCAAAAAGTTCATTGAGATTGTCTCTATTTTACTTGTTCCAAGCCAGTGCCTACCAAAACCAAACACTTTTGGCCCTTCACTTACCATATGCAGCCACCTTGTTAATCACTGTTTCTCTGGACCTCATAGTTTATTGCCTTTGCAAATAGGGGCTGTAAATCTATTGTGCTTCTCTAAAATTAATTTCTGGTCAATATATCAAAGAAGCTTTGATGACATTTGACCAAGGCAGACGAAGATACAAAAACCTATGTAAAATGATTCTGAAATGCTTCCTATAGATCAGCCAGACTTTTAAATCGTGTATGCCTTACTATAATGAAAAAGTGAAAGAGAAAGCATGAGGAAACTAGAGTAAACTGGGAACTGTGCTTGGAACCCAGAGTGATACCAGCACCTCACATTTTTTTTTTTTTTGTAGATCATGTGATGCTTCTGTAGTGGTTATAGAAGCAGTGTGATCTGCCTGTAGAGCTAATTGGCATCAATGAGTTTTAAGACAACTTTCTGAAGGAAAATACAGTATGTGATTTTAGTTTGGTAATGAAGGCTGGATTTTTATACTATTGAAACAGCTTGAAACTTTTGACCAAGGCCTGTAGAAAGAAATATATGTATTTAATATTAGAATCTAGCGAACACAAACACGCTAACACGTGTGTGTATGAAAGTATATATGTATATATTTATATATATGAAAGTATATCTATTTCTATATGAATATAATTTGAAGTGGAGATTCTATTAAATGATTCTTACCTTGCTATGTGTAATGTCCTCTGACATATTCTAGTATTTATTCTACACGGTACCACTAAAAAATAACTCAAGTATCTGGCCATATACCATTAGATCTATTTCATGCATGCTTAATGGCTTACGTACTGCAGTTTGAAAAACATTGTTCTATTGTTACTCCTTACGAATTGTGGATATATATTTCTATATTATGTCATTTTTACCACAATTGCTTTCATTTCAAAAAAAATTTGTGTTAAAACATGTTTACGCATTGGTTTTTTAAAGTACTGAAGACTACAAATATGTTCACCATCATTGTGGATTGAAATAGTTTGTAACTATTCCCTTTTCACACAACTAGATAACAAATCCAGATAAATTATATGTTTGAGAGTATCAAGATTTTTCTTTTCACTCATACTTACCTGTTTCCTGAGTAAATGAAAGATAGCTTCCTAGAGTGTTATTACAACATATTTACAAGTTCTAAATATTCTTTAGCAAAAACCAAAATATTTCTTTTTTATTCTTTTGGTTTTTTAAATTTTAAATTTGTATGGCTACATAATAGGTGTATATATGTATGGGGTACATGAGATGTAGAAAACATTTCACATTTTGATTAAACAAAGTGATTAGATTTATTTCACCTGTATGCGTGCTTTACTATAGTTTCAGTGTTACCATGCAGATTTTTCCATTTATTGGTCCATATTCCTGTGTTAATAAAAAAAGGTACCTCTCATTTTATAACAAAATTTACCTTCTCCCTGAATAAAAACAAGGCTTACTCTTTATTAGATTAATTTATTTACAGGAGGGATGCTAAATCATGCAATACTTGTTGTAAAAATTGTTTGAAGCAGTTTTTTATATGCTTATATTACTGGCGGAAGATGACTATGCATATTTCTGAACCAAATTTAGATAGCTGACAACATTAACCCTTAGGATTTGAAGGACAAGCCAATCCTGTATAAGCTATTTAGGATTTCTTCTACGTACAAGTCATCCAACATTGCTCACTCTATTATGGAAGTCAGTCACTAAGTCTCTCCTAAAAGCTAACCTTTTCCAGTGAACCATTATTGGTGACATAACCTTATCTTCTACTTCAGTGATGAATTCCACAGGTCACTGGCATAAGATGGTTTTCAAAATGTAGAAGATGACGAGGAGATTATGAGGATCTAGGTCAACTGAGTTAAACTCTGAAAGCTGTAAAAGTGTCATGAATCCTGTTGTTGGTTCAGTCAAGGCTTGATTTTTAATATCTCAATTGAAGGTCTTCATGCTGCCTACATGCCATACAATATGGCAGCTTGTTCTAAATTTTTCTTTAGCAATCTTAAAGACTTTTTTCAAGGGACATGTGAACGCCAATTATATTTAGATAATTAAAATGAATAAAATTTTGTTTATAATATATGCAGAGAGATAGAACAAAAATCAGCTATAATATTATCCTCTTCTCTTGATTAGATAATGGGATAAAATATATGTCATGTTTTGATGAATAGCGTGTTTCGGCACACATGCATGTTGTCAAGGAAGGATCATCTGCTGTTATTATATCCTCCACCAATCTTCACAAAGAACTCAAGTTCAAGAAGAGCAGGAAGGTAAAGGAAATAACCCACATGAATTCATCAATAAGAATTATGTTAGCTATTTATCTTACATTTCCCTTTAACACATAGGAGCTCTGATATGGCCATTTGATAATAAGTATATTTCCTAAGACTGCTGAAAAAAATAGCATTTGCTAAATACTTGGAAAATGCATAATGTTTACAAACCACATTTGTAACCTGCAATGTCTTTTTGAGACCATTAGACAGCTACTTACTGAAGTTAATTTTACTAAACCTGCAATGTCTTTTTGAGACCATTAGACAACTACTTACTGAAGTTAATTTTACTAACACAGGCGTTAATGGTACACTAGTGTCTTAAACAGCAGAATGCAAACTAGGGTACTATTCAGAAACATTATAGACATTGAATGGCTGTGATTCATTAAAATATATATTATAACCTATTCACTTTTCGCTACATTGTATAAGGGATACATTTTTATTTAAATATTCTTCCGATTTTTCTCCCTATACACTTGAGAGCTTCCGATTTTTCTCCCTATACACATGACAGCTTGTCTCCTCTCATCTCAAATATTTTTACAAATCTAAGCAGATTTCTGCCTTTACTGCATTATCACCTTATTTGAGAAAGCTCATTCTGGTTCTTCTAATCACTTCTAATCTTGTCTCACCTTCATTGATAACTTTAACGGTGGAGAAGTCACAGATTAAGTTGGACTGGAGTTGTGGAAATAAGGTGAGGTGATTTGTCACAGAAATTAGAGGAATCTTAGTGATAAATAGTGTAATTTTCAGGATCTTGCTAAAAGTTTTTCCAAATAACAAGCAAAAATAGAGTTGAAATTAAAGGTCATCATATTTTAGAAAACAAACCACAAAACTAAAGCAGCTCGATGTGTAAGCTACAGGCAGAAGCTAATATCTGTATTATGGATTCTGCTAATATCTGTATTATGGATTCATTAAATTGCTTGTATACTCTTTACCACTTAGTTAATATGTGAGCTTTAAATAGCTTAAAAGCTGGAGCAATTGTTTCATGTTTTTTAAATATTGTGTTTGACATCAATTCTTGTTAATGATCTCTGAGCCTAAGAAGGCTTATATTTATGCCCAGAGGATAGTTCACATTTAAAAAAATCATTTTTTCTTTTACATGTACTCCGAACGTACTATGATGGAATCCTTTAATTTTAAGGATTATTATAATTACTTGCTTCAAGAGAAAACTTTTTATGGAGTAATGTGAAATTTCTTTCAAAGGCAGGCAGGGTTGCATTGTGATCTTGGTACCGAAATCATCCGGCTCCATATTCCAGGTTACCCATTTACTACTCATGTGACCCCCACACAAGCTACTTCACATCTCTGAACTTACGTTTTTTCACTCATATAATGGTAACTATTGTACCTACTTCTTCAGAATTCTGTAAGCCTGGCTGACACCAAAACTTTACATGAGGTGGACACTCAAAAATAGTTGTAGTGGCTGCTATTTGGCTCCTAGGCACCTATTAGTAAATAGTAGGAAACTAAGTAAAACAAATATATCAAAAGTGATAGAAAATACTCTTTGTAAGCCATTCAGGAGCTGGCTACTGTTAAGAAATGAATGATCTCCTCCTTTGAGAAGAGAAAATTACTTCCTCCATATTGAAATAGACTTATTGCAGAATAGTCATACTATCACACATGAGAAAATTTCTGCAGTATGTGAGCCTAATCCCCTGGAGGAGAAATTTATTTTCACCCTCATGAAAATGTGGAGAAATCTTTTTGATGGCTATAGTAAGAGCTGACCACTGGGGAGGAGAGAAAGTCAGCCTATGGAAATCACTCTCAACAGGTCAGAAGAAGTCATTGTGGTTTTAATTACAGGACAAGTTTTGAGCAATTATTGACCTTTAACTATGCAGAAATAATTTGAGAGAGTTTTTTTTTTCTCAAAGGATCTATGCATCAGATAATAATTGTTAGCAGTGGAGACCTAATATGAGTGCCTCTAATTTTTCCTACAAATTTGAGGTTGTTGCATTAAGTGGCATTGTTGCAGGACTTTTCCCTAGGTTAGCTGAAAAAGGAGTCCTTGATCCACAGCCACAAAACTTGAGGCTTGCAGACGATTTGAAGGGTGAGAATAATGGGATTTATTGGGCAAAAAGGAAAAAGGGGGTAACAAGGACTCTCCACAAGGCCAGAGTTCTTGCTAGTAGTCTTCCCACCTCACAGATTGAATTCCACGTTTCACACAGGAAGAGGAGGAGCCAGGCTCCTCCTGCCTGCAAACGGCATGAACTTCCTGAGTCTCTAGCTGGGCACGCAGGCCAGTTGCAGTTTTGCCAGGGAGCCCTTCCCACCTGGCTGTCTCAGCATCATTTGTTTATACATGTGTGGTACTGTTAATGTTTTGTCATACTTGTATGTTTATATAACACACAGTAGTGTGGAAAAACATGCTATATTTTTGAAACTTGAAATCTGTATGAGAAATTCTATTTAGATCCTGTTACTCAAAATATGATCCATGGATCAGAGACATAAAATCTTGCTAAAAATATGTTCTCTCTGTCCCTGGCTCAGAACTATTAAATCAAGTACTATGTTTTAGTAAAATTCTCAGGTAATTCAGTGCACATTAAAATTTACGGGGCAGTGCGTTAGATCACAAAGCTATTCCTGACTTTGGAGCTCCTTATGCCTCCAAATTGTAAATACTTGGAGGATTCGCCTTGAAAATCCAAATTCCCAAACTATGGGATCACCATAGTTAACTAGTACCTTAAGAAATAAATCTGGATAAAAAGATAACTAATTGCCTGTGAATAGATGCAAAAAGGAAATTATATTATTTACTAAGCCTGATCCCAAGACCTAAGGAAACATCAAGAAGAGGTTCTAAATATATGAAGGGTTGTCCACTAGAATAGGAATGGCAATTACTCTTTATAGACCCAGAGAGAATTAATTACTAGGATCAACAAATAGAATTCACAGGAAGAGAGATTTTGGTGCCAGATAATTGAACTATGTGTAAGTGCAATGCTTTTTCTCACAAATGAAATCTATTTATCTCCTTTCTTCAAGCCGAGGTTTACCCAATATCTGTCATGGGCTCTGTTGAAAGAGCCTCATAAGTAAGAGGTTTGAACTGAAAGACTACAGAAAAATGACCTCAGAGGTCACTTTGAAGTCTGAAATTCTAGGATTTGTCCAGTCAAGGAATAACAAATGCCTGTGAATAATTGAATATATGTGACAAGTGAAAAGAGAACTGTTTGAGTGAACATAAGTAGTGGTTAGGTTTAACAACTAATAAGAATAATCAGCTACACAGCCTGTGCAGATTTAAGAGGCAAATTATATGTTTAGAAAAGCCGACTAACAGAAGGGCTCTTAGCTATTTTGTGAAGACTTGGAAAGTTACTCATTGAGCCCTCTGCTGGCTGATATGCAGGGCACTGATTTTTGGATCGGAAAGGAGACTAAATTTTCCCCCTGGGAATAATAGGTGATATTCGCACATCAAAGAGAAGTAGTGAGAAAGAGCAAGGATAAGTTGATTAAGATGGCTTATGAGAACTGCAACTTGTTTGATTCTTGGACATTTATTTTTGATTATCTTTGTAATAGCAGTTG